>NC_000010.11:5010000-5161515 GCF_000001405.40 Homo sapiens
CTTTGAGCCCACATGTGATCTGACTCTTCTGGGATGCCTGGCAAGAGCTTGGGATATAGAAAGCTGTCACACTGGCCCTCTGCCTTTGAGATAAGTCAGAGGGTCCATGGAGCTGCAGACTCAAGCCGTCTGCAGATGGCAAAGCTGAAAGAGCTTTACAACACTGTGGTTGCAGGCACCCACCACTAGACACTACCATGGAGCCAGAGCCCAAAGCGCTCGCCCTGGCCTGTGCACCTGCCCATCTCCATGCTCCCCCTCCCTCAAGCAGTTTGAACCGGTGAGCCACACCCCTGTCGCAAGTCCTGCAAGGGGAATCAGGAAACTGTCTCATTTCACATACAAATCTGTTAGCACCATGTGAAGAAGTCTGAGGAATGGTAAGCTCTCGGGGTCGCCCAGGAGAGTCTGTAACTTCTCTCATCTTTTCCTGACTCTTCTTCCTCTGTGTATTGATGTCATCCTCAGGCTGGGTGGAGGCTGCTGCAGCAATTTGAGAACTCCCAGGGCAACAGGACAAGAGCCACTTGAAGAAGAGGGGCTGCCACATCTTAAGCGCTTCTTTCTAGATGTGAGAGAAACCTTCTCAGAAGCCCTCGGCACACTCCCTCTCATGCGGCGTTGGCTAGGGCTGGGTTGCAGCACTCTTCCCACTGTAGTTCATGCCAAGGGCAAGGGAATAAACATGAGTGACCTTAGCAAAGCTTTTATAGCAAAATTCATGTTGATGATAAGGCAATCCTAACCCCTAAAACCGTAATGAAAAATTGATATTTTCAAAAAGTTAGACGTGCAACCTTGCTTATACCTCAAAATAGCTTTGCAAGCTTTTAAAACAACTGGAAATAAATCAAAGTCTTAATTAAATATAAGACCTGAGACTATCAAGTGCTAGAAGAAAATCTAAGGTAAACTTATTGGGGCAAAAAATTCCTAAGTAGGTCTCAGCAAGGAACTCAGACTAAGATTTCAAAAACACAAATGAGAGAATAGGAAGAGATGCATATGACTTAATTAGACCAATAAGCTTCTGTAAAGCAAAAAAAAAAAAAATCAACAGAGAACAGATGACCTACACAATTGGGAAAAATAATTGCAAATTGTGAATCTAATAGGGCACTGATATCCAAAATTTATAAGGAACTCAACCCAACAACAACAATAACAAGAAAACCCAAATAACCTCTTTAAAATTCATCAAAGAGCAGAGGTTTCCCAACTCCATGCCTAGGCACACCTACAGGCACTTGGTATCTGCCCACTGGATCTTCTGTCTCCCACTGGTGGAGACTCAGAAGGCTGGGAGGCTGGGAAATTATTGGGTAAATACAATGGACATTATTCTGGTGATAGCTACACTAAAAGCCCAGACCTCACCACTGTGCAATGTATCTATGTAGCAAACTGCACTTGTAAACTTTAATTTTATACAAATCCAAAAATAAAATAAATAAAACATAGTAATACCTAGACTTCACTACAGATCTAATGAATAAGAATCTCTGGTGTAGGATTTTAGCTTTTGGCAAGATGGTCTACAAAAACACAAGCAGGGCAATTTGATCTGGCTGCACGCACATTGATCCAGTTTGTTTGCTATAAGCACAGATCAATAGGTACAAGGACAAGAGACCCCAATCAGCAGAAAACCTAAAGGAGAAATTTAGAGAGAATGAGTGTAGTCTGAGGATTTCAATTTACTTTATTATGTAAGCAAATCTGAATATGTAAACCTGTGTGGGGATTGAAAGAATGGAAAGAGGAAACACGAGAGACCCAATGACTGCAACCCTTAATGAACAAGAACTTGATGAACTGATGTGTAGTGAAAATCGAAGCGTAAGAGGCTTCATTAGTATGAAGTGTGTTAAAGTTAAAGGTTCATAGAGCAGTTATAAGTACTTCTTTGTCTGTATAAGTTATAACATGGAAGTAGTTGCCTGAAGTATAATCTAGGTATGAGTAGAAACTTTCAGTTGTTGAGAATGTAAAGAACAGCAATGCTGGAGTTCTCTGCATGTACAGCGAAAAAAGATATTCACAAATCCTGGGAGAAAGGGTAAACTAAGGGAATAAAGGGACTATATCTAGAAGGGGACATATGATAGGGTATAAATGATATCAGAGCTAAGGAACAGGTTTTTATTTCATTATATCTGAGATGAAATCTAGATTTTTCAGGACCTAGTGGCTAGTGATATAGTACTTTCTATTAGCAAGGCTAGAAAATTAAGGCTTACTTGCTTCAAGTTCTCCACAAAGCTAGTACAGTAGGCTCAATACTGCTCCCTCCCCCTGCCCTGCCAATAACTCATGCCTTTATCTTTGGAAGCTGTGACTATGTTACCTTACCTGGCAAAACAAACTTTGCAGATGTGATTATGTTAAGGATCCTAAGATAGAAGCATTTCCTGAATCATCTGGATGGGCAATGTCATCTCAAAATCCTTACAAGTGGCACCCAGGAGGGCCACAATCAAAGAGGATGTGTAAGGAAAGACCCATAGGGAAGAGATCCTAAGATGCCATGCAGTTGGCTTTCAAGATAGAATAAGTGCCATGAGCCAAGGAACACATTCTCTGGAACCTGGAATGGCCCAGAATAGCATTTTCCCCTAGACCCTCAAGAAAAAATACAACCTTGTGGACACCCTGACTTTAGCCTGTTGAACGAGATTTTGGAATTCTGATCTCCAGAACTGTGAGAAAATTAATTATGGTGCTTCAGGCCACAACATTTGTGATAATTTTTTACTGCAGAAATAAGAAATGAATTCAAACGTGATTCAGCAATTCTCATCTCTCTCCTGCATCATCAATTTTTCTCTTTCTACTAGATTCTTCCTAAGAGCACATAGGCATGCTGTTTTTTCTGTCATCTCAAAGAAAATTGTCATTTGACTTCATTGTTTTCTTCAGGGACTTCTCAATTGTCTGGTGTATTTATAACCCATTCTTTGAATACCTTCTACACTTCTGTATCTAATTCTTCTCTTCCTACACTTGAATGAACCTCTATTCAGGCTGTTGCCTCTACCAATTTATCAAAATTGGGACAAGGGAGAAGATTTTGAAAAATAACTAATGAGTACTAGGCTTCATACCTGGGTAACAAAATAATTTGTAGAACAAACCACCATGGCATGAGTTTACCTATATAACAAACCTGCATGTGCACCCCCGAACTTAAAATAAAAGTTAAAAATATTGAAAATAAAAAAGTTTTGGAGACCTAAATTACATTATTTAATTCTAATTCTGAAAAATTACCTTATCTAATATTTATGAAACGATTCTGATTCTATTTCTGAACAATTACATTATTTAATATTTATGGAAAAGTTAAAAGAAATACACATAACCGTGTCATGGCTAGCCTTTGACATTTTCTTAAAAAATTAAAGCACAACATACTGAACAATTACATTATTCTAATGTAAGGAAGTATGTGAAGAGCACAAAGTCAGAAATGGCCCCAGTGGCCCTAAGGGCTCATCTGGTTGTAGGTGGGCTTGTACTTGAGTCCTGGCTTGTCTGAGGATCAGTTCCAGCAGTTAGTGATTGAAACTGGACACCCTGATGGACCTGGTTAAACCTGCATCTCTGCATTTCTCCAGGGCCTAGGAAAGAAGGAAATGGGTGTAGATCTTCGATGTATCCTGGCTTTGTTATTTGTCATTAAACCTTTTCTTTAGTGTGGTAAAATATGTATAACATACAATTCATCATTTAACCATTTTAAAACATATAGTTTATTAGCATTAAGTCCATCAACCTTATTGAGCAAGCATCACCAGTATACATATATTACAATTTTAATCATCCCAACCTAAAACTCTGCTCATTAAACAACAACTTCCCATTTCCCTTTATTTCATCCTCTGGCAACCACCATTCTACTTCCTGTCTTTGCATTTAATTATTCTAGGCACCTCACATAGTTGGACTTATACAGTATTTGTCCTTTTGTGTCTGGTTTATTTGGCTTAGTAAAATGTCCTCAAGGTTCAACCATATTATTGCACGTATCTGAATTTCCTTCCTTTTTAAAACTAAATAATGTCCCTTTGTAGACACTAAACTCTGTTTATCCTTTCATTTGCTGATGCTCACTTGCATTTTCACCTTTTGATTATTGTGAATAGAATTATTATGAATAAGGTTATCATGAATACTAACATTGCTTCAAAAACATGTTTTAGTTTCTGCTTTTAATTTATTTAGGTATTGTGAGCCCCAAATACCTGAGACATGCCCCAGTCAATTTAGAAATTTATTTTTCCAAAGCAAAACCTCTCTCCTATTGTCCAGGCTGTCCTCTGCTATGGTTACTGGGCTCGTTTTTAGCACAAAGGTCTCACTGTTGTGTTATCCTTTCCAAGTGAGCCTTCAGGCCTTTTCCTTTTATATATTTTTGCAAGAAAGTTAATGAGGCATCTCATCCGAAATGCATGCTATCATGTGTATATTTTGGCATTGGTTGAACAAGGTGTGTTGGCATCCAAACCACGCCTTCATCATTTAGTTTTCAACCTTTCTTATCTTGAATACATCCTCTGTCCTTGGTAGCCTTTTTATCCTCAAGAGGATACTGGGATTTGAAAGCTGTCAGATCTATTTGGGGAATTAAAGGTGCCTGGACCTCAGCACTGCTATTGGTTGGGTGCCTGGCTGTGCAGTCAGTGAAAGCGTTCCCTCTAGCTAGATTGGAATTCCTGTGCTGATGGCATGGACAATGTCTAACAGCTGTTTCCCTTGGGGTTGCCAATACCTCCAATAGCTCCAACATGGCTTTGCATATTTAATTTTAGTATTATCTGCCCCTTTCCTTGCAAATAGCTCTGTGTGCATGGGCTATCATGAAAGAATATTTGGAATCAGTTTAGATATTGGTTCTCTTACCTTTGGACAGATGCAAGGCTCTCATAAGGGCAATTTACTCAGCCTTTTGCACAGAAGTCCCTGTTGGGAGAGTTCTTGCAGCTATTACCTCCAAGAGAGTCACTATAGCCTAGACAGCATTCCTCCTTCTGTTGGTGACTAGGCTGCTTCTGTCCACAAAGAGCATCCAGTCTCCACCCTGGAGGGCTGTGTCCTTCAGATCTGGTCGCCTGGAAGACTCTTGATCTATAACCACTAGGCAGTTGTGTACTAGTTCCTTTGGTTGCCCAGTAGGTGTCAACAAAGTGGCAGGGTCTAAGGCTCCAGTGCCCTGTAGTTTCATTAGACATTACCTATGGTGCACATTGCAGTGTGGTTTAATGCCTTTTGAATGAGAAAATTATTTTCTTTCTTTTCTACATTTTTATAGAGGAGTTTTGTAGATAGGCAGGAGATATCATTTCTAACATTATTCTCCAGTATAAAGGAAAACATACTTGACAGTTATGTCCCAAATTAGGTAAAAGAAGACTGACATTGGATGTCCCCAGGGGCTTATAATTTCTACCTGTAGTAGCATAAATTCCCTCTGTGTTCTGTAGACACAGAACTACCCTCCCTAACACAGACTCCTCATTGGTACAGCCCAATTACATCCACTTTCCTAAGCATATGGACCCCCTATCTCTGTCAATCCCACCCCCAGTGATTCACTGAGGGAGCAATTCCAGCCCTGGGTCCCCAGACAATGTAAGGTGTTGCAAACCCCACCTTCCCATAGACGGCCAAGAGCAGAGCATGGACATATTTGATTAGTACCGAGGAAATGTGAGAATAGTGAAACTTTGCTCTGACTGTATTCTTGTGTATTAGTCCATTCTCACACTGCTATAAAGAACTAAAGAACTACCTGAGACTGGGTAATTTACAAAGAAAAGAGGTTTAATTGACTCACAGTTCCACAGGCTGTACAGAAAGTATGGCTGTGGAGGCCTCAGGAAACTTACAATCACGGAGGAAGGCAAAGGGGAAGCAAGCATATATTCACATTGCTGGCAGGAGAGAGAGAGAGAGAGAAAGAAGGTGGAGGTGCTACACACTTTCAAACAACTAGATCTCAGGAGAACCATATGATGAGAACAGCAAGAGAGAAGTCAGCCTCCATGATTCAATCACCTCCCACCAGGCCCCTTCCCCAACAGTGGGAACTAGAATTTCACATGTAATTTGGGTGGGGACACAGAGCCAAACCATATCACTCCGCCCCAGCCCCTTCCAAATCTCACATTCTTTTCACATTTCCAAAGATAATTATGCCTTCCTAACAGTCCCCCAAAGTCTTAACTTATTTCAGCATTAGCTCAAAAGTCCAATTCTAAAGTCTCATCTGAGACAAGGCAAGTCCCTTCCAACTATGAGTCATAAAATCAAAAATAGGTTAGTTACTTTCTAGATACAATGGAAATGGGGTATTGAGTAAATGCTTCTGTTCCAAAATGGAGAAATTGGCCCAAACAAAGGGGCTACAGGCCCCATAAAAGTCCAAAACCCAGAAAGGCAGTCAATAAATTTCAAAGCTCCGAAATAATCTCTATTGACTCCATGTCTCATATCAAGGCCACACTAATGCAAGAGGTGGGCTCCCAGGGTCTTGGGCAGCTCTACCTCTGTGGCTATACAGGGTAAAGGCCCCATGGCTGCTTTCACTGGCTGGCATTGAGTGTCTGCAGCTTTTCCAGGCACACAGTATGAGCTTTCAGTGGATATACCATTCTGGGTTCTGGAGGATGGTGGCCCTCTTCTCATAGCTCCACTAGGCAGTGCCCCAGTGGAAATTTTGTGTGGGAGCTCAAACCCCACATTCCCCCTCCACACTGCCCTAGAAGAAGTTCTCCATGAGTGTTCCACCCTTGCAGCAGGCTTCTGCCTGGACGTCCATGCATTTTTATACATTCTCTGAAATCTAGGCAGAGGCCCCCAAGCCTCATCTCTTAGTCTCTGAGCAGGCACAGGCTTAAAACTACATGGAAGTCACCACACATTGGGGCTAGCATCCTCTAAAACAATAGCTCAGGATGTATCTGAGGCCCTTTTAGCCATGGCTGGGGCTGAAGTGGCTGGTATGCAGGGTGCCATGTCCCAAGACTTCACAGAGCAGTAGGACCCTGGGCTTGGCCCATGAAATTATTTTTCTCTCCTAAACCTCCAGGTCTGTGATAGAAGGGGTTACCTTGAAGGTCTCTGAAATACCTTGGAGGCATTTTTCCCTATTGTCTTGGCTATTAACATTTGGCTCTTCTTTACTCATGCAAATTTCTGCAACCACCTTGAATTCTTCCTCAGAAAATAATATTTTCTTTTCTGCTACATGGCCAGGCTCAAGTTATTCAAACATTTATCTTCTGCTTCCCTTTTAAATATGAGTTCCAGTTTCAGATAATCTCTTTGGGCATGCACGTGAGAATATGCTGTTAGAGGCAGCCAGGCCACATCTTGCTTGCTTTGATGCTTAGAAATTTCTTCCATCAGATACCCTAAATCATCTCACTCAAGCTCAAAGTGACACAGATCTCTAGGGTAGGAACACGATGATGCCAATCTTTTTGCTAAAGCATAGGAAGAGTGACCTTTACTCCAGTTCCCAATAAGTTTCTCATCTCCATCTGAGAACTCCTCAGCCTGGACTTCATTGTTCATATCCCTATCAGCATTTTCTTCATAACCATTCAAGTCTCTAGGAAGTCAAAACCCTCCTTCATCTTTCCATCTTCTTCTGAGCCCTCTAAACTCTTCCAATCACACCTACTACCTATCCAGTTCCAAATTTGCTTTGACATTTTCAGGTATCTTTATATCAATGCTTCACTATTTAGTACCAATTTTCTGTATTATTTTATTCTCCCACTGCTATAAAGAACTACCTGAGACTGGGTAATTTACAAAGAAAAGAGGTTTAATTGACTCACAGTTCTGCAGGCTGTACAGAAGGCATGGCACGGGAGGCCTCGGGAAACTTACCATCATGAAGGAAGGTGAAGGGGAAGTAAGCATGTCTTCACTTGGCTGGCAGGAGAGGGAGAGGGAGAGAGAGAGAGAAGGTGGAGGTGCTACACACTTTCAAACAACCAGATCTCATGAGAATTCTATTATGAGAAGAGTAAAAGGAAAGTCAGCCCTCATGATTCAATCTCCTCCCACTAGGCCCCTCCTTCAACACCGGGAATTACAATTTGACATGATATTTCGGTGGGGACACAGAACCAAACCATATCGTTTGGTATTCCAGAATTTCTGCCTTGCTGTTGCCACCCTAACCTCTGGTGCTTCCTCTTAGCAATTTTTTCTCCTCTGACCTCACCGTGCTCTATGGTTATAAATCCCCTCTTGTCTTACTTGGAGTCAGAGTTGAGCTTCAAGGGAACCAATACATTTTGCACTAAAATAAATTTCTTTGACACATTTCAAGACAGCTATTCAGAAGGGCAGGAAATACGAGAAGAGCCAAAAAGCTGTCTTTAGTGGGAAAGACTTGCATCTGTAGAGAAAATTTGCATTGTTACAGCTGGGCTTTCTCTGAGAATCTCTCTTGGATAGAAGAAAGATTAACTGAGAATCTGATACCTTTAAAGGTCTAAAGAAAAACATTTCCCAGCTGTTCTCTCTGAGGGCTGCTTCCTGGGAGATTTCATCTAAATAATGAAACCTCGTTTGCTAGCCAGGCTTGTTCTTCTCTCCATCCCATAACCTGTGTTGCCACTGTAAAAAATTTTGCCAAGATTTAAGTGCAATGGTGCAATCACAGTGCCCTGCAGCGTTGACCTCCTGGGTTCAAGCAATCCTTCTACTTCAGCCTCCCAAGTAGCTGAGACTACAGACAGGTGCCACTACACCCAGCTAATTTTTAAAATTTTTCCTTTTAGCAGAGACAAGTTCTTGTGGTGTGTTCCAGGTTGGTCTGAGCTGAAGAGATCCTCCTGGCTCAGCCTCCCAAAATGCTGGAATTATTGGTATGAGCCACCACGCCTGGTGATCTGGCTGTTTTTCCTGCATTCTGCCTGTAATTGTTTTTTAGGGTCTTTTTCCACATGTCTCATGTTCAGAGTCTCTAAGGCACATGGTGTAGCTGAGCTGATTCACCCCTGTCCTGTATAGAGCACCATGTGGGGGAAAGTTCCTGGTCTGCTATGCCATCGCCCAGCCAAAGGAGGGCTGCCTTTGCTCTGGTTTCACATTCCTGTTTTAAACAGTCATGCCCAGAATTGCTTGGCTACATTGTGACCTTAATGAAATATCTAGTTTGTGAAGTCACAGAATTTGCTTTTCATGAAACTAGAATCTCTTTGAGTTTGGGAGTCTCACATCCCATTAGGGTCCCTCTTTTAGCACCTCACTAAGATTATTAAAATTAATTAAAACTTTTGGATGAACTAGAATGTCTGCAGAAACCTCTAGCCATTTTGCTGGTTCGACAGGATAACCTTTTTTCCACTAAAGAATATTAGTGTTAGTTTAGTGATGAGGTTAATATTCCCCATTTTTCCCCTCTCCCAACCCAAAATGTACTAGGCTGAGTGTTAAAGACCAAAGACTAATCACTTGGACAAAGGATTCCTTGTATCCCCACAAGTCCTAGGTATTTTTCTCTCATTGAGAGCAGAGGGCCTGTATTGATGCCTGGACATGGGATTTTATACCTTCTTGGCATCCAGGGTTATACAATCAATAAACAGAGATGGTATAGAAAAATCCCTTAAAAATGATGGGTCATGCCAAGACTACAGGATTTTCTTTCCTCCTGTCACTTGTTACAATGATTTTCAAGTGGAAACTTGAGTTCTGCATTTCTCAGTTTTTCTTGACTCTCAAACTAGCTAAACACTTCATTCTTCATTCTTAAGAGATTGGCACCAAATCACTTTGTCCTGTTTGGGAAATGCAGTGTTTCTCCTTTGGGTGCATTTTTGAAGACCAAGGCAAAAACATTAAAGTTCATTTTTATTTTCTGTGTGGGTAAAACATTTGATTTTACTGAACATGCTCCATAGTTACATGGCAGGATGTTTTGATTGGCATAAAAAGTAACCAAACTTCCAAATGCGAAGTAGGTCACCGGAAGAGTACAGGACTCTTTGTGAGTTGTTTTTCTCTCCAGTCCAATATTTTCCTCAACATGTTTTCTAAATAACATAGGAATTTCATTTTGGAATAAGCAAGTCATTTAAATTTATTCATAGGTATAGGAGGGTCCAGAAATGTTAAGAACATATATGATTTCAACCGTATACCTTTGCTTTATGGGATAATGTAGTCAGTTGAAAATGTTTTCTGTTGAAGCAAGTGACTGCCTCATTATTAAATAAGAGAAGAGCAGCTTGAGACGGCTGTTTGCTGAGCGATGTGTGGAGCAGGCCCATTTGCTTTCATGTATCAGACATGCCTGCTCTACCCCACCCCTCATTAAGGCACTCACATTCACCAGGCATGATCATCTAAAAGTGATTTGATAGTGTTATCTCCAACCTCCTTCTCTGGAAAATCTTGCTGACTCACAGTGACTAGGGGACTTGGGTGGCATTTTAGACCTGCCAATCACCAGCCTGGATCATTGCACCTGTTCTGAGTTGCACCGGTCTTTTACTTTAGTGCCAGGTGGTTGGAAAGAGGCCCATGAAATAGAGCTGCTCATTTTTAAATTATCCCTTTTGTTGAAGCTTTTGTTCAGGAGGCAGGAGTGGGGCCACCGGCTGTGGACCTCATGGTACACTCTTGTTTTTAAGACGTGTTACACAGGGTGAAGGAAAGCAAAATGTGCTACTCAAAATGTACTTTTCTGGCATATTTTTATATGACTATTCAGAGGGGTCACAATTCAGAGAGGCTGCCGACACACAGAAAGACCTGAAAAGCTTTCTTCTCTCGCAGAGATTTGTAAGTGCTGAGGAAATGTACATTAGTGAAGTGAACAGAGGGTAAAAGCCTTTCTCTGAGGACCCCTTTATATGCCTTATTGGATCAAAGAAAGATTAACTTCCAGGAAAAACAGACTAAGATCCTGACACTTTAAAGGTCTGTCTGAGAAGCTTCTCCACAGGCCGCCACCTGCCTTCCTGAGAGCAGCTTGGGGAGCCCCTGAGAGGCTCACATCTATGTGGGGACAGCCTTGGCTCACCATGTGTCTCTTCCACTCCCCCATTACCTGAGACTCCACCTCCCCCAGAGACCCCAAACCCCTGTTCTCTCCGTAGCCTCAGGATGTGATGAAACCCTCTGTCAACAGGAACGCCCTGGAGTCTCTTATTTGCAGGAATCTGATGTCCATGTACGTGTATACACATTTGCATGTCTTTTTATATTAACCTTTCACTTGTCAGTTTGTTTTATACACTCTAATTATCAAAACTTCAGAAGAGAGAGGGAAGAAAATGCCCTTTGTGCCTACATGGGTATCTGCATTTCCCATGCAAAGCAGAAAAGGTGAAGGAAAGTAATAAAACCCAGTCCCAGAAGTAGCAAACATGGCCCTGACAATGGCAATGAAGGAATAGTGCATGGCCTAAGATTGGTCTCCCCATGACTGAGGACCATCAGGGCCAAGTCTCTTGTCTTTCCTTCCTCCCTTCCCTTCACCCCCAACTGCACACAGCCGGACACAGGGCACAGTTTGGTAAGAGCATCTGATTAGGGAGGGTAACTGGGAAACTGTACATGAGAATGTGCATGAGTGAGGGTGAATATGTTAAGAATTGAGGGGAGGAAAACCTATCCTTCTGCAAGTCTATTTACCTATCTACTACGTTTTTATATGTTAAGACTTCTGAGAGCCTGCTGTTGGGTGTGTAGTGCGATCCTCTGGAAGGAAGTTGAGGAAGACGCTGTCCGTGCCTCACTTTCTCCTTGGGGTTACAGGAGCTTTCTCATAGACACCTGACAGGGGGATCTTCTGTATAGGACCCGCATATTTGTGCCCATTGTGCAGTAACTGATCAACACACAGAAATAGTGGCTGTTGCAGCAGAAAAGGGGTTTAATAATTGAATGGCAGACAAACGAGGAAGTAGGAGGAAACTTCGAATTCACTGCCCTGAGGAGTTTTAGACAGGGGTTTCAAGGGAATTTTGGCAGGCAGGGGGCTGAGGAGCAGGGCGGGGTGCTGACTGGCCAGGGTGTGGACTATGAAAGCCTAAGGATGTGGTAACTGCATTGTGGGGCTGAGTCAGTTCCTCAGAGGGGCCTGTAGATTGGATGGCATCTGTGGAACTGTTATAATGCATGATGCAGAAAATATCTTGAGTGGAAAACGTGAGATTTCCTACTGTTTGAGACGTTACCTATGAGGTTAGGACCTTGTGATACAGGGTACATGACTCTAAAGAGTAAGCAGTTATATGGAAGTGGGCTACAGGGCAAGCTGGTTAATGTACGCTATGCTTTCTTTCAGACTTTATGCTTTTGCTAAAAACCTAGACATTTACTTTCATTAATTTGATGAGGGTACTGTCACCTCCTCCAGTGAACACACTCATTCTGAGGGACAGCTGGGTTGCAATAACCATCAATCAACGTTGTCACAATGCTTGCATTGATGGAAAGCTTTCCTTCATCTGAACCAAAGGATTCCTCCATAGTAAGCAATAGGTCATGAGAGTCTCTGGGAAATACTCAGTGTACACAAGAAACATGTTTTGTGGTTAACAACAAAATCCTTTACCTTACTCAGGGGAAGCCTGTTGATCTCAGCACATCTTTCAGCCTTGGCACCACCCAGTAATTTCTTAGAACTTACATAAAAGCATCCAATTAAGCATAATTCTGAATATCGCTCACTAATCCTGACTCTGCTTCCTTCGCAGCTATAAAATCAATAACAGAAATGCTCCTGTTTCACTAATTTTTGTATTTTGTTTTTAGTAGAGATGGGGTTTCACCATATTGGATAGGCTAGTCTTGAACTCCTGACCTCAGGTGATCCACCGACCTCAGCTTCCCAAAGTGCTGGGATTACAGGCGTGAGCCAACATGCCCAGCATGAAATACGCTTTCATATAATTCTTGAATACTCCACTTAGAGGCCATTGCAAAACCTTTCCTGACACTCCTTCTTCCCCATCTTCCAGGATTGCATGTGTCCTGTTTCCTTGTGTGCCATGCTGTATTATAATTGCCATTTGCAGTCTCACCTTTTGTTGGCTTCAAGCTGCAAAAGTTGTAGTGATTTTTGTGTAGACAGGCAGAACTTAGCTAGTGCCTCAGCTTGGATCCTCAGTGGGCTGCAATGAAGGCATAATCCAAAAGCAGGGTCTCCCAGAAGCCTCAGTGGGGAATGACCTGCTTCCAAGGTCATGGGTGACTGGCAGAATCCAGTGCCTTCCGGGTTACTGGAGTGAAGGCCTCAGTTTCTAGCTGGCTGATGGCCATAAGCCACACTCAGTTCCTCTCAAAGTGGGCATGTCCACAAGGCAATTCATCTTATCAATGTTTGGCCAAATACAGGTTGGGCAGAACACAATAAAAATAACAAAACACCACTTAGATATCTTAATAAGCAGAAGTTCCTTATTACTTGAGACTAAACTTTTACTAATGTTGTTCTTTGGCCTGCATAGTAGAAGCAATAAAAATGAAGGGCACACAGGAAAGGGTGGCCAACATTATCCAGGGGGTCATAAAAGGACTCCTGAAACACGTGTGGCTGGATCGGGTGTATTTAGGATAAGTAAGACATCAGAAACCTGCTGGAAACAACATGCAAGCCGAGCAGGCTGTCCTAAAAAGAGGAAATAGCTGGAAGAAAGCAAGAACATAGAGATGTATTCATGATTTCAGACCAGGTTTTTTGTGCCAAGAAGATTCAAGGAATCAAGGCAAAGACAGTCACAAAATGAAATGAGGCCTTGATACAGGAGAATTTCATTATAATGAAGGTAGAAATGGGTGCTTCCAAGGAATCTCATTACATGTGTGCCTGGGACCAGGCATCTAGCTTTGTTCAGGGAATTCTCAATAAGCTGTTTGTGATGGGATTTGTGATAAAATGGATGGTGTGAGACTTAACTGAGGTCTTCTTGTAGAATCAATGTCTAGAAATGACCAATTTAACAATCAGGTTGTATCTTGTAAAGTAAGTCCTATATCCTTATCAAAGACAGGTTGGAATATTTAATACTTCAACTTAAGTGTCAAGAGTGAACAATGCCTAGAAGATCATTCAAAATCCTCTCTCAGGATACCATTTCTGTATGTTCCTGTAAGATACACCTGCACAGATAGGAAGAAATTGAAAAAAAGGCAATAGATTAATTCCAGCTTCATTTGGAATCACTGGCAGTTGTAATATGAGCTCTTCCTACATTGAAGTTGGTGGAAATAAAGAATGTGGGAGCCTTATTTTCTACTGGGATCTCACAGAGGAAAAGGAGGAAAGGCAGATTAGCTTGGGCCGATGACGGATCTGAAGCACAGCCATCCCATGAGGCTGAATGGTGGACACTTCATACGGGTGCTGGGATTTGGCACTTATGCTCCTGAAAATGCAAGCGGACTCCGGGGTCTGAAGGGTCCTAGATCAGCTGTCCTT
This sequence comes from Homo sapiens, assembly GCF_000001405.40. Taxonomy (NCBI): domain Eukaryota; kingdom Metazoa; phylum Chordata; class Mammalia; order Primates; family Hominidae; genus Homo; species Homo sapiens. The sequence continues at coordinate 5,024,456 of NC_000010.11, forward strand.
GCAGGGTGGTCAGCAGGCAGGAGCCCTGCACCTGGTTGACAGTGGGTACTTGGAAGGGCCACTCTGAGCTTCCATTTCACTGTCTCTAACTTGCCTCTCTCTAGGTCACAGAGATCTTTTTTTGCACGAAAGTGACGTGACAAGCTCATGACTATGAGGATTCAGAGGTTGATAATTTTGTGGGTAGATTATATTTAGTATTATTGTTATTATTATTATTAATGTTACCTAACTAATGTCAAGTGCTTTCTGTGTATTTTAAGTATTTTACATAGTTTTAAAATGTAATCTCTTAACAACTCTTCTGTATATGTACTGTTATTATAACATATTTCTTACATTTTCACAGTATAAGTTCAGGCTGCTATCATCTTCCACCCTGGTCAGAGCCACTCAACTCAACTCTTGGTTAAATATGAGAATGGCAAAGATTCTGCAAGTAAATGGAAGCCAACATGAATACTTGGTGGCACCTTTACTGTGAGATTGTTGGGGCTGGAAGTGGGAATATCAACCATCTAAACCTTTTCTCATGTAAGAGGTTACTGTGATACCAAAAATTAGATAATGAGGAAGGATGGCTTAGGAGGCATAAAGTCACAACAGAGACTGGATTGTGCTTGTGTGGTCCAAGGCTCTTGGCCCCCTAAAGAATCACTGAAAATCAATGACGGATGTTGCTTTGGAGAGATTGCACCCAAAATGACAGAGACCAATGTGCTCAGTCTTGGTAGAACTATGACATGAGAGATCACCAGATAACAGCTGTCAGACAGAACCAGCTTCTTTTCAATGGTATAATTGTCCATCTCATCCATCGTGAAAACTTAAGCATAAGTTAAGCATAAGTCTTACATACATTATGTCCACCTTTTATTACTGTTGTTAACTACAAAACAGAGCTAAAGAGAACAGAACAGAAAGTCCCACAATTTCCTGGCTGACAAAAATAAAATTAATACATGTGTGCTTAAAGTTCATGCAGTAAAAAAAGTGGGAAGTGAAATAAAAACCTCCTCAACACTCTGCATTTTCACCTGGGGCATTGCAGGAACAGGAAGCAGGTCCAGTGTGCACTGTGGGTTCTTTTGTCCTGCAAGTTTGTTTTCTGGGAAGCTCACAAGCACAGACTCTCAGATTGAGTCATTAATCCACTCCCTGTTTGAAATTTGAGGGACAGTATGCACTTGCTGTGGTCCTGACTTTGCCCACAGGCAATGCCAGCTTGATGAGATAAGGTCTGTGCCATGGGTGAAACCAGCTGGTCACATGCATGTGAGTGGCTCTTGGGCTTCTGCTTCTGCATCCAGCTGCTCTTGCTGTGATATGTCCTGGATCTGGCTGCAGTGTTCCTCCCTCTCAGATCTTCCACAGAGGTTCTGCTGCTGCTGAGCAGGACACAGCCTTGCATAACCCCCTGCATGAGACACCAGCGCATTGGCTTTCGTTGCTTCTAGGCTGAGAAGTCAGGCACACAGGGGGCAGTCAATAAATGCCTGTGGCATCAATGTGGAAAAAAGTACTTGAGAATGAAGGATAAAAAGAATCATAAATGATCTGTAGGTCTCAGCTGGTTGGAAACTAGGAAGTTTGGGTGTTATGGACTCATTTATTATTGTTAGCCAAAAATAGATGCTGTAATGTGTATGTGTGTGTGCCTGTGTGTATATGTGTTCGGGTGTACTAGTGTGTATGCATATGCAAGTGTGTGACTGTGTGTGTGTATGGGTGTGTACCTGTGTGCATGCCTCCATGTACATGTGTGTACCTGTGTGTATGTGTGTGTGTGCCCTAGGATTGTTGGAATGGTAAATCAGCATCATACCTAGGAATACAGATAACCATGGAGGGGAAATATCTCTACCATGAGAATTACAAAACACTGCTCAAAGGAAATCAGAGATGACACAAACAAATAGAAAACCATTCCGTGCTCATGGATAAGAAGAATTAATATTGTTAAAATGGCCATACTGCCCAAAGCAATTTACAGATTTAATGCTACTCCCATCAAACTATCAATGACATTCTTCACAGAACTAGAAAAAAACACTATGTTAAAATTTACGAGGAACCAAAAAAGACTCTAACAGCCAAGGCAGAACAAATGTGGAGGCATTAAATTACCCAACTTCAAACTACATTGAAAAGCTACAATAATGAAAACAGCATGACACTCGTACAAAAACAGACACATGGATCAATGGGACAGAATAGAGAGCCCAGAAGTAATGCTGCACAACTACAATCATCTGATTTCTGACAATTAATAAAAACAAGCACAGGGGAGGGGACTCTCTATTCAAGTGATTGGTACCTGGGTGACAAAATAAGCTCTACACCAAACCCCCATGACATACAATTTACAAACCTGCACATGAACCCTGAACCTAAGAAAAAAGATAAAAAAAGACTGCAATCCAGTATTGATGGACAGTAAAGCAATGTAGCTACTGTCTTTACGGATTTCAGGTGTTTCTATCTATTGGGAGACTGCCTTTCTCTGGCACCCATTGCAACCAATTATTATTTTAGAGAGACAGGTTAACGACTGCTTGACCATCACCTGATGGTCACCTGATATTCCTGGGGAGGGCCACTCTCATGCCCTGCTCATGTCTGACTAACTACCTACCTCAATACTCCAAGACCCAGTTCTTGGGGAAAATGGACAAAGGTCAGGCGTCTATAACTGCTTCCTACTGACAGAGGGGTGGTGAAAGTTGTCCTGTGGGTTTTGGCCTCTTGATAACTGTCAGGACAGAGTGGCTCTGTGGTTTGGTGAAAGTGCTATCCAGGTAGGTCGAAGGGAAACACAAACAGGATTTTTCCTTTGTTGTGTTCTACTGATGGGCAGCCTAGTGGTCTTCTATAGAAGGGTGACTCCTGAGTATTTAGAAGATGGTATCCTCACTGAGGATAATTTGGAGCTTGAAGGTCCATCTCTCTAGTTTCTTCTGAGCTGTAGCCAGAGATCACTGGTTGGTTCATGGAATAGGCAGGGTTAGTCTAAATTGCAGATAAAAATACAAAAACTACTGTGGAGACTAGACTCTAATAACAGGTGTACCACAGTTCTTGAAACATCATTTTTCCCCCTACAGTCCTCATTTTTATTACAAATAAATCATGATAGGACTCATTTGTTTGCAAAATAAGCTTTAGCCTTATTATACTTGGCTTGATTATCTGCATAACACACAGCAAGAATAACTATTTACCATTTAGGCTCCTTTTTAAATTGGCTTTGATGAAACTTTGTTCCATAAGGAATCTCAGATAAGACTTTTTCAAACCTTAAGCCCAGCCATGGGTGTGTGCTATCAAATACCTGCATGATTTGGCTAAATTCCTCTCCTCTTGAGGTCCCAAGACAATTTGAAGCTCCTGGGCCTGTGAGAAAGTGACATTCTTTATTTTCCATGGGTGGCAAACTGTGTAAAGGGACTGTGTAGACAAGGCATGAGGGCATTTTTCCAAAGAGCTATTTTTCGCTCTATAAGTCAAGTTTGATTCCTTAAAGGAAAGCACATCATTCCAGTCAAAACCTTGGTAAAATAAGCAGTTTCTCCAATTGTGTCCTGTTGGGAAAAAACAACAACAACAACAACAACAACGAATTCTTATCACACTTATGCAAATAAATATATTGCCGTATGTTAGGAACACTCAAAAATAGTCTCCAAATTCTGAATAAATCAGGTAGAGAGAAACAAATATGCTCTAAATTTCTTTACAGGAGTGTACATTACTCTATTGTTAAAAGCTGTAAATAAGCTTGAGAGAAAAGTTTTCTTGATTCTGAAAAAGAAAACACAGGATCAGCAACATTCTAAGCAAAAAGTAAAAAGCATATTTTTTGGTCCTTTATTAGTTCAATTTATGCAATTAATTCCTGTTTTGCTCAATATTTATTATCACATTAGTTTTCCAAGAGGGTCTTGGAAGTTTTTTCCTCTCCATGTTAACATCAAAATCTTAAAAGCTATCACAAACCTGCATTCAAGAGCACAGAATCCTAGAGCTGATGATAAAACCACATTTAATAAGGATCAAAACAAGAAAACAATTGTTTGTGGCTGACAAAAGGTCTTAGGGCAGCCACAGTCAAAGACACAATTGGCAAGGAAATTTACTTACCTCTCTGGCACACAATAATCTTACATAACAATTATAATTATAACTGGTAATATAAACTAAGTCATAACAGAATTATAGGAATTTCACATAATTTTTGAACACATACCAATAGGACATTTATACAAATATGTCCAAAGAAAGCAAAAAGTTTCCTTTGCATTAGTATACTTTTAATGTTAAACCCAATCCTTAATAACATCTTACAGACAAATCTACTTCATCTTACTCATTTTGAGCGTAAGGTAAGATTCTCTAGCCTCTAGCTCCATCCATGTTCCTGACAAGGTTATGATATCATTCTTTCTCACAGCTACATAGTATTCCGTGGTGTATATGTACGATATTTTCTTTATCCAGTCTGCCATTGATGGGCATTTAGATTGATTCCATGTCTTTGCTATTGTGAATGGTGCTGCAACGAACACAGGTGTGCATGTGTCCTTGTGATAGAATGATTTATATTCTTTTGGGTACCTACCCAGTAATGGACTTGCCAGGTTAAATGGTAGTTTTGCAAAACTTTTTCTAAAAATAAAATTTAGGGGACAAATTTAAGGGATCAATTTTTTGTCACCAATTATTCTCTTTTTGAGTTCTGTTTCTGAAGTTCATCAACGTTGCTGCAGAAAGACATGATTTCATTCTTTTTTGGCTGAATTATATTCCAGTTTTCCATACACCACATTTTCTTTATCCAATCATCCATTGATGGACACTTAGTTTGATTCGATTGATTTGATTGTTTACTCAAAAGTTATTGAGGGGCATGTTGTTTCATCTCCATGTACTTGTGTAATTTTTTCAGTTCCTCTTGGTATTTATTTTATTCCACTATGGTCTGAGAAGATAATTGATATCATTTTGATTTTTTAAAATTTATTGGCCGGGCATGGTGGCTCACACCTGCAATCCCAGCACTTTGGGAGGCCAAGGCAGGTGGATCACAAAGTCAGGAGATCGAGACCATCCTGGCTAACACGGTGAAACCCCATCTCTACTAAAAATACAAAAAATTAGCCGGGTATGATGGTGGGTGCCTGTGGTCCCGGCTACTCGGGAGGTTGAGGCAGGAGAATGGCGTGAATCCAGGAGGCGGAACTTGCAGTGAGTCAAGATCACGCCACTGCACTCCAGCCTGGGTGACAGAGCAAGACTCTGTCTCAAACAAAAAAAACCTTTTTTTTGAGACTTGCTTTGTGGTGAAGTATACAGTTAAATTTGGAGAATACTCCATGTGCAGATAACGAGAATGTATACTCTGTGGTTGCTGGATAGAATGTTCTGCAAATATTAGGTCCATTTGGTCTGTGGTCTAGTTTATGTCCAGAGATTCTTAGCTGATTTTCTGCCTTGATGTTCTGTCAGGTAATATCAGTGGGTGTTGAAGTGCTGTACTATGATTGTACTGCTATAAATCTGTTTTCTTTGGTCTAGTAGTATTTGTTTTATGTATCTGGGTGCTCCAGTGTTAGGTACGTACAACTTTAAATAATTAGGTCTTTTTTTGTGTTGAACCTTTTATCATTATAAAATGCATTTTATTTGTCCGTTTTTACTGTTGTTCTTTTATGGTCTGTTTTATCTAATACAGGAATGGCTACTCCTGCTCGTTTTGTTTTTTGGTATTTTTTTTCTATTTGTGTGATATATCCATTTCCACCCCTCTTCTTTGAGTCTGTAGGTGCCTTTAGACAGTTGGCGAGTTTCTCCTAGGCTGCGTATGGTTGAGTCTTGCTTTTTTAACCAGTTTAGCACTCTGCATCTTTCAGTGGAGCATTTTGGCCATTTACATTTAAGGTTAACATTGTTATGTGAGGTTCTGTTTCTGTCATAGTGTTGTCTCCTAGTTGTCTTTGAGTTTCAATTGTGTAATTACTTTGTAGGATCTGTGAGATTTGTACTAATGTGCCCTTTTATGATGATGTATATTGTCCCCTAATTTCCATGTTTAGAATTTCTTTCAGCATTTCTTCTAGGACTGGTCTAGTGGTAATAAATTCCCTTAGTAATTGTTTATCTGGAAAAGACTATTCCTGAATCATTTTGGAAGTTTAGCTTAGCAGCATATAAAATACTTGGCTGCCTTTTGTTCTTTAAGGAGGGTGAATATAGGCCTATAGTATATTCTGGCCTGTAGGGTTTCTGCTGAGAATTCAACTGTAGTCTGATGGGATTTCCTTTATAGGTGATTAGGTGTTTCTCTCTTGCAACTCTTAGAATTTTTTTCTTTATGTTGACTTCAAATAGTCTGATGACTATATACTGTGTTGAAGTTCACCTCGAAATGTATTTTCCATGAATTCTCTAATCTTCTTGCATCTGACTGTCTAAATGTTTCCCAATACCAGGGAAGGTTTTCTGAAGTATATCCTCTAAAAAGTTTGCCATACTTTTTACTTCTTTTTCTTCTCACTCCGGAATGCTTACATTTCTCAGGGGTGGTCACTTTACAAAATTCTCTATTTCTCAAATACTTTGTTGATTTTTAAAAATTAATTTTTCTATATTTATGTCTGACTGAGTTAATTTGAAAGACCTGTCTTCCAGCTCTAAAACTCTTTCTTCCTCTTGGTCTAGCCTATTGTTAAAGCTTTCAACTGTATTTCACATATTCTTCAATGATTTTTTTATTTCCAGAAGTTCTGATTTTTTTAAATGATGTCAATATATTCTTTCATATTCTGTATTTTTTTTTCTGATTTCTGTGTGTTAGTTTTAAGCTTTCTGTTTGGTCTCATTGAGCTTCTATAACTCAATATTTTGAATTCTTTGGTATTCCAAAATTTCATTTAAATTAGGATCTATTGTTGAAGAGTTAATATGATCCTTTGAGGGTGTTAAACAGTCTGTTTTTTCATACTTTCAGAGTTATTTCCTGTTTTGTTTCCTCAACTGGATAAACTATTTTACCCTGTTATGTTTTGAATTTGCTTTTGTTTGGATGACAAGCTTATCAGGGAGCTTATCTTATTCCCTAGTGCAGTGGGCTTACATCAGCAGATGTCTTTCTGTGTTGAGTGATTCAAGTTCCAGGCCAGTAGATGGTTCTATGGGTAAGAACTGGCTATGGCTGATACAGAGGTGTATATCTGATCCTTGTTAACTGAGAGAAGCTATCTGTGTAATAAGACCTTGATCTGACCTGTGGAAGGCACAGCCATCTAATCTTCCTGCTTAGCCAAGGAGCAGGCCCGCCTACAGGTTACACAATGGCAGACACAAGCACCAGCAGGAGGGAAAAGTTTCAGTGGGCAGATATCAAGTTCCTCCCCCTGGGCTCGTGGTCTCACTGGCTTCAGGAGTGAAGCTGCAGACCTTCGCGGTGAGTGTTACAGCTCATAAAGGCAGTGTGGACCCAAAGAGTGAGCAGTAACAAGATTTATTGCAAAGAGCAAAAGAACAAAGCTTCCACAGTGTGGAAGGGGACCCGAGTGGGTTTCCACTGCTGGCTCCAGCAGCCTGCTTTTATTCTCTTATCTGGCCCCATCCACATCCTGCTGATTGGTAGAGCCCAGTGGTCTGTTTTGACAGGGCGTTGATTGGTGCATTTACAATCCCTGAGCTAGACACAAAGGTTCTCCACGTCCCCACCAGATTAGCTAGATACAGAGTGTGGACACAAAGGTGTGTGTTTACAAACTTTGAGCTAGATACAGAGTGCCGATTGGTGTATTTACAATCCCTGAGCTAGACATAAAGGTTCTCCAAGTCCCCACCAGAGTAGCTAGATACAGAGTGTCCAATGGTGCATTCACAAACCCTGAGCTAGACACAGGGTGCTGACTGGTGTATTTACAATCCCTGAGCTAGACATAAAGGTTCTCCAAGTCCCCACCAGACTCAGGAGCCCAGCTGGCTTCACCCAGTGGATCCCGCACCGGGGCTGCAGGTGGAGCTGCCTGCCAGTCCCGCGCCCTGCACCTGCACTCCTCAGCCCTTGGGTGGTCGATGGGACTGGGTGCCGTGGAGCAGGGGGTGGTGCTCCTCAAGGGGGCTCGGGTGGCGCAGGAGCCCATGGAGGGGGTGGGAGGCTCAGGCATGGCGGGCTGCAGGTCCCTAGCCCTGCCCCGTTGGAGGCAGCTAAGGCCCGGTGAGAAATCAAGCGCAGCGCGGGTGGGCTGGCACTGCTGGGGGACCCAGTATACCCTCCGCAGCCGCTGGCCCGGGTGCTAAGCCCCTCATTGCCCGGGGCCGGCAGGGCTGGCCGGCTGCTCAGAGTGCGGGCCCACCAAGCCCCTGCCCACCGGGAACTCCAGCTGGCCCGCAAGCACGGTGCGCAGCCCCAGTTCCCGCTCGCGCCTCTCCCTCCATACCTCCCTGCAAGCTGAGGGAGCCGGCTCCGGCCTTGGCCAGCCCAGAAAGGGGCTCCCACAGTGCAGTGGTGGGCTGAAGGGCTCCTCAAGTACCGCTAAAGTGGGAGCCCAGGCAGAGTAGGCCCCCAGAGCAAGTGAGGGCTGTGAGGGCTTGCCAGCATGCTGTCACCTCTCACTGTGACCCAGTCCTAGCCAATGCCACATAAGAAGGACCAATGCTAGGGGCTTCTAGGAATGATTCCTCACTTCTAGAAAGAAATTTTTAAAATGAGGTGGCCTTTCTTCTGCAAGTAGCTATTGTCCTGCTGCAGTGTGAGTTCTAAATTTGCTTCAGCAGCCTCCACCCAGCCCAAAGATAATATCAATACACAGAAGAAGAAGAGTCAGGAGACGATGAGAGAAGTTCTGGACTCCAAGGAACAACACTCAGAGCTTGCCTTCCCTCAGACTTCTTGTTATGGTGGTAACAGATTTCTATTAAATTTATATTAATTATAAATTGTTTTCTTGACCTGGTTTTATGCTAACCAAAACAACCATAAAAGTTAATAATTTTCTCTTTAAAACATCCCCTGCATTTTGTCCCAATCCAGGATTAGTCAGAATAGATGAAAACTGATGAGTCATCCTGAGAGCATGAACCCCAGTGGATTGTAGGGGTTGACTACAGTATTGAGAAATATTAAAATAACAAAAAGTACAGAAGAGGCAGGGATCTCAAAAAGTGCTCAGTGGAACCACCACTTATTGTGAGTCAACATTCAGGACACAGTTGTTTCTTCAGACAGAGTTCACTCTATGAAAACACTATGAGCAAGGTGGGTTTTACTTAAAATTTCATCGTAATTTTTACATTGTAAATTTACATTGTATATTTTATCCAGTGTCATAATTAAAATTTCCTACATATTCCCTTAGGCATCTCTGGCTTTTTCCCAAAATTTCCTCCCGGGGTATCAACAGTGCCCCCTCCTCCTCCACAGCATACCTGTTCTTCCTATTCCCTCCTGCACAGCTTCTGCTGCTCGACTGTTTCCACAACAATGCAAACTGACTGTTAGCCTCCATGGCTCCTCTGCTCAACAGCCATGCCCTCACCCACAAACCTCTGTGAAGTTCAAGTATACCCCTTATTGTTCACATATAAACCCCTCAACCCAGAGAATTGAGTCAACAAAACAGGAAACCTCCTCAGGACAAACACTGCTGCCAATATAAATTTGTATTTATTTATTTTAAAATTTATTTTATTTTCAATGTGAGTGTCGGCTCCCATCTCCCTGTCCTCATGTTCCTTTCGTAAGACTGAGAATTTCTGTGGTCTCCTGAGGTCAGAGTTTTTCACCAGATTGTATACCAGCTGAGGAAAATTTGAATTCTTATCAACTCCACAAACCTATGCTAGTCAGACAGAAGCCCCCATGTGCTAACTGTCTTGTCCTTTGAGCCTTGGGAAGTGACAGGAGACACACCTGGTCACTGGAGGAAATCATGAGTAGAGAGAGAAACAAATGAGGAGAGTTTTGAGCCTGAGCCCTTTGTGATACATGAGTGGTTAAGGCTTGGCACTTTTCACCTAGAATTCGGAGGATGTATCAGAAATCCTGAATTTCCAGACAGATACCTGCTGAAAGGCTGGAGCCCCCACAGAGAGCTTCTATTTAGGCAATGTTGAGTAGAAATATGTGGTTGGAGCTCTGCAGAATGTCTCCATGGGTGCACTGCATAGTGAAGTGGTGGGAGCAAGGCTTCACCCCTCAACATTACAGAATTATAAATGTACTAGCAGCTTGCAACTTCAGCCAGGAAAAGCCACAGGCCTTAAACTCCAAACTGTGAGAGCAGCCACCTCAAGAATTTTAAATATTCTGTCACCACATATGTTGATTATATGTTCATATTGACAAAATCTGCTGTTGAAGCCTTCTAGTGAGTTTTTCAATTCAGTTATATTTTTCAGCTCCAAAAATTTAAAAAAAAAAATTTCTGTATCAGTGATCATATTGTCATTTTTCTATATTTTTTGGATTTCTGACAGTTTTTCTCCACATTTTTCATTAGCAATTTTAGTATACTTATTGTAGTTGTGTAAGTCTTCTACTAATTTCAATGTCTGTAGCTCTTCAGGAATGATTTCAGCCAATTGATTTTCTTTCTTATAATATACTATATTTTTCTATGTCTTTGTATGCCTTGTTATTTTATTTAATTGGGTATTTGTTGGGAGAAAAGCTGAGTGTTGGGAGAGAAGCTGAGGCAGGGCTTGCATTTCTGCTAGACTTGCTGGCTCCTTGCTTCTAGCACTCACGTTATTTCAAGCAGCCATATGTTTCTCATTCACTTGATACGCTGTTTCCTTTCAACCCCCACATCCTCACCACCTGTTTGTTTGTTTGAGCACCAATAAGTAGTGTGGGCTCCCAGAGCTCGGGTCCTTTGCAGCCTCCACCCTGGCGATGGCTCCCTGGTCCTACTTTCTCTCTCAAACTGGCTTTTTCTCATTCCTTTGACTCCGCCAGACTTCCTCGCCCCCATGACCTGGTGTTGTGTCTGATCACCCCAACATTCCTGGCTGCCCAATGTGGGGCAATGAAGACCCCAGTGAAGGAATGCTAGAGTGTGTGAAAGTGGAGGACGCATCGTCAAAGGACACCTGAGGACGTCTCAAAGAAGCTCGGCGGGAGAGCTGAGCGCTCGGAAGAACCAAGGTAACAATGAGACAAAGTGAAAGCAGACATTCTGCTTATTTAAATTTCTTAAGGCATTTATTACAAAGAGGGGGAGTGAAAGTTAGTACTCAGAATTTTTTATCACTCTTTAGTACAGTAATGCAGTTTTGCCCATGGTTTCCTGAACAAGGGACTATGGAGTTAGATGAATGGGAGAGAACTGGAAGAGATTTTAAGAAGGCATATAAAGAGGGAGCAGAAATTCCAGTTTCCACTTGGTCAATGTGGGCGCTAATAAAGGCAGCTTTTGAGCCATTTCAAACAGATAATGAGGCAGATTCAGATGATGAGGAGAATGAGTGTAAAAAAACTGACTTAAGATTCTGAGTGTGAGGAACAGCTACTAGAGGAGATTAAAGAAAAGAAAGGAAAACTAAAAAAAGTATGTTTTACTAGCCCGTCGGCTCCACCTGCTGAATTAAGTGAATGGCCACCTCCTCTCTCTCCCCTTAATGGGGAAGAAAATAAATTAGCTGAAAAACTTACTGCTCCTGTAGTTGCAACATTAAAAGCTGGAGCAATTGGTCATGCTATACAAAATTCTATTCAAAAAGCTAGAGCTGAGGGAGAACTTGAAGCATGACAACTTCCCGTTACTATAATCCAGCAGGGAGGACAGACTATAGCTAATTGGGCCACTTTTCCTTCTAAGTTACTAAAGGAATTTAAGCAAGCCCTTAGTCAATACGGACCAAACTCTCCTTTTGTGCAAACTTTATTTAAAAAATGTGGCTCTTGATAATAGATTAATACCATATGATTAGGATACTTTGACAAAATCTGTTCTCACTGTCTCAGTATTTACAGTTTAAAACCTGGTGGGCTAATGGAGTTCAAACTCAGGCAAGGGAAAACACACAAGCACAGCCACCTGTGCCTGTTTCCTTTGAACAGTTAATGGGAGTTGGCCCTAATTGGGGTCGATTAGAGAATCAAGCAGTAATGGAGGATGCTACCATTGTTCACCTGCACTTTGTGTGCTTACAGGCATAGGAAAGCATAAATGTTACAGGGGAAAAATATCCTCCTTTCAGTTCTGTCTGAAAGAACCATATATTGATTTTATTGCTCAGCTCCAAGAGGCTGTGTATAAGGTCATAACTGATAAAACGGCTCAGGATGTTGTAATACAGCTTCTTGTATATGATAATGCTAATGCAGAGTGTCAACTGCTGTTATAGACCCCTAAGAGGGAAGCCTTATTTAGCTGAATATATTAAGGCTTATAATGGCATTGGAGGTAACTTACATAAGGCTACTCTTTTAGCTCAGGCTATGGCTGGATTAAGAGTAGGAAAGAATATGCCCCATTTCTCAGGCTCTTGTTTTAATTGTGGGCAATTTGGACACACAAAGGAATGTAGAAAAGGAAATCAAAAGGCAAAAACTACTACCATCAATCAACAGAAAAGTCCCAGTATACGTCCCTGGTGTAAGGCAATCACTGGGCAAGTCAGTGTCATTCTAAATTTAGCAAAGATGGACAATCTCTTTCAGGAAAGAGGAAAAGGGGCCCCTCCTTGAGCCCCTTAACAAACTGAGGCATACCCAGCACAGCCAGTGCCCTTACAAATGTACAACAATTATCCCCCGCCTCGCAGGCAATGCTGCCGCAGACCTCTACAGCACAATTCCCATCTCCTTACTTCCTGGGGAGCCACCAAAGAAGGTCCCTATGGGAGTTAGGGGACCCTTACCCTCAGGAACAGTCTATTACTTGGAAGATCTAGTCTAAATTTAAAAGCCATCACTGTGCATGTGGGAATAATTGTCTCTGATTATACCAGAGAAATTCAATTAGTTATTAGTTCCTCCGTGGTCTGCCTCCCCAGGAGAAAGAATTGCTAAGTTGTTGCTGTTACCTTACATAAAACTAGGAAGCAGCACAGTGAAAAGAACGGGAGGCTTTCATAATACTAATCCAGCAGGAAAGGCTGTGTATTGGGTTAATCAAGTGTCTGAAAAAAGACCTATTTGTACAGTAACTATTCAGGGAAAATATTTTGAAGGACTAGTAGATATTGGAGCTGATGTCTCTATTATTGCTATAAATCAATGGCCCAGGCACTGGCCTAAGCAAAATGCATCCATTGGTATTGTTGGAGTAGGAGCTGCCTCAGAAGTTTTTCAAAGTTCCTTGATTTTATCATGTCAAGGGCTGGATGGTCAGGAAGGGACAATTCAGCCTATCATTACACCTATTCCTGTCAATTTATGGGGTGGAGACTTACTGCAACAATGGAATGCTGAAATATCTATTCCTACAGATCAATATAGTAATAATAGTAGACAAATGAAAAATACAGGATATTGTCTGGGAAAAGGACTAGGAAAAGATAAAAAAGGCCAATCAGAGCCTTTATAATTACAAGGGCAAACAGATCGGATCAGATTGGGGTGTCATTTTTAGGAGTGGCCATTGTTGAACCTCCAACTCCCATTCCTCTTGTTTGGCTAACAGCCAAACCGGTTTGGGTGGAGCAATGGCCACTGAAACAGGAAAACCTGGAGGCTTCAAAAGAGCTGGTGCAGGAACAATTGCAAAAGGGACATACAGAGCCTACTTTCTCCCCCTTGGAATTCTCCTGTATTTGTCATTAAGAAAAAAATCAGGGAAATGGAGAATGTTAACAGATTGGAGGGCTGTTAATGCTGTGATTCAACCCATGACTATACTTCTCACAATGTCCCTTCAGCACCTGACCCTCTACCCGCTGGTTATTCCTTGGTTATATTAGTAATACAACAAAGAGTAACATTAAAAGCTAATGATTAATAATGTTTATACTAATGATTGATAATATCCATGATCATCTCTATATCTAATTTGTATTATAACTATTGTTACTCTAACTATTTTCTTATACTGAAACAGTTTGTGCCTTCAGTCTCTTGCCTCGGCACCTGGGTAATCCTTCGCCCACATCTCCCCCCTTTTTATTGATTAGGATTGTCATTGCCATCATTGCTTGTCGCTGGCTTCGAGTTTTTCATTGGACTCCGTGGAGACGCCTGCAGACTAAAAGCAAACAACATAAACACACCAATATTAGTAATGCTGATAACAAAAGTGAACCTCCAACGGGTTTGATCCACTTGAAAGGATTTAGATCAGATAGTCCTTTTGTAATTCTTTCAAATATATCAGAACCAGGAATGGTAGTTAAGTGAGCCTGGGAAGCCTCAAAAATGTGCTCCTTCAGTGTTGAAATGTCTAGGGTTAAATTATCATCCCAGGCTTTTAGATGCCTTTGGACTTTTTCCCAACTATGTTGATCTTCCTTGTAACCATAAGGTGTTATGCAATAATCAGAAGTATTCCAATCCCATTGTAGTTGCATTCAGTGTTCTAAATTCATCATCCTGTCTCCCAACCAGATGACACTCTGGTGGAGATCATTAATTTGATTGGCCAGTTTTTGATCAGTCTGAGCCTGAGAATTCCAAAGTCAGGTGGAATTTTTTTGGCATGTTTCCACATAATGAGTGGTGTGGACCAAGTTATGAATGGCTACTCCAGCAGTAGCCGCTGTTGTAGTAACAGCAATTAAACCTGCAATCACCGCAATGAGAGTAAAAATGAATCTCCTAGTTCTTTTAAGAATCCCTTTAAGGACTTTATTGACTACATGAACAGAAGAGACGATTCCCAGAGGCGGTGTAAAGAAACTGATATCCATACCCCTTTCCTGGCCGTGACCAGGAGAACACTTGTTTTTGGATCAAATGTAGCATCAATGCACGTAAACAATTTGCAATTATTGCATTCAATAGTTTGACTATCAGGGGTGATAATTATGTTTCCAATCAATAACATATGGTGGTTTAACACAGCTCCTAATGGGTACCACCCTCTCAGACATTAAAGAGATCTTATACATGTTTGTTTTGGTATTTGTAAGAATTTTTTGATAAGCAACATTCCATAATCTGATTCCGGATATGGCTGCAGACAACCTCCACAATTCAGGATGTTCCGGGGTAACTATAGGATGAATCATTTTTGGTCTAGGAGGAACGATGACCTTGTCCAACCATTTGAATGGGTAAGGAGACACCCATTCCCTCTTTTTGTAGGACTGCCAGCCTTTCTCTTCATAATCTATTAAATAGTTAAACTCAGGACATTGGGTATTTTGGCCAGAGCAATCTCGCCAATAATATCCTTTTGGGGCCCAGTCAATGACAACACTTGTGATCGGACTCCTTAGCACCACTACTTTTGGGGCATTGCAATCACTCCATAGAATGTTTTGAATTATTAGGTCCCTTTATAAGGTCTTTTAAACAGTCTGGCAATCCTTGTGTTTTATTATGCTTTACTGTGACAGGAATTCTCTGTTCTTCAAATGAATTTATGTTAACGGTCAGAACCTGAAAAGAATTACTACAGAAGACATTATGCACCTGATAAGAATCATTGCTGGAGGCCGGTACAGTCCACATCCAATTTTGATTAGAGAATGCCAAACAACCAGGTGCAAATCCTACACACAATGGTGGAAATTTATATCCAATGGACACATTAAAAGGCATTCCTTCTTCATCTGTTTAAGCCGGAAATCTGTCATCATTAGGGACTGGCATGAATGCACTGTCATTAGTATAAACTTCCACTGAGGAATCCATCCATGAAACAGATCGAATAAGAATGGAAACGGGACATATGCCAGTAGGTGTAATTTTGAGTTGCTGCAGCCCCGGGTATACTTACCACTGCAGTAACTACCATAAAGGCAGCCAAGATAACATTACCCATAGTTTTTGGAATCCCTTTGTCCTGTAGGTGTCTCTCAACCTCTTCGGACATTACTTTTATCTGACCCCCCCACATCAGCAGGGTGGAATTTTAGCATTGGGAGTTATAGGGCGAGGCTGTGAGGCAAACTTGAGATATAAATTGTATTAGTCAGGTGACGAGCCTTGCGTTTTGATTTCTGGCGGCTCTTCTCCTTTTGTTTCTGATGGTTCTTCAGGGCTGGAGTCATGGTACAAATTCAGCTGATGGGAGAGAACCCAAACAGGTTGTTGGTCCTTTCCTGGGGAGACACAAGCAAAACCCCTACTCCATGTTATTACAGTGCGTAATTCCCATTTATTAGTTTTTGTGTCCTTCCACCATACTTGCTTGCCTTTTTGTGGGTCAAATTTATTACCAGCAAAGTGTTGTTCTGCTGCCATGAAAGGTTGGTTCTTGGCCAAATTTAAAAATTTTAATGTGAACAGAGCTAAATTTATCTGAGCATGGGGAGTACTGACATCCCCTTTCTTTTTGTTACCTTGTTTGCGAAGCTGGTCCTTGAGAGGTTTATTAGCTCATTCCACCAGAGGCTGTCCTTGAGAATTATAGGGAATTCCAGTAGTGTGAGTAATGCCCCATGCTTGAGTGAACTTTTTAAAGGCAATGCTGGTATAGCTGGGACCGTTATCAGTTTTAAGCTTAGCAGGGCAGCCCATAACTGAGAAACAAGAAGGCATATGTCATTTAACACGAGCAGTACTTTCTCCTGTTTGGCATGTAACCCAGATGAAATGGGAAAAGGTGTCAAGTGTTACATGTATGAAAGAAAGTCTCCCAAAAGCTGGAAAGTGGGTCACGTCCATTTGCCAGAGTGTGTTGGGGGAAAAGCCTCTAGGATTAACTCTGGAAGGAAGTGGTTGTAGGATTAACTCCGGAAGGAATTGGTTGTAGGATTAACTCCGGAAGGAAGTGGTGTAGGATTAACTCTGGAAGGAAGTGGTTGTAGGATTAACTGCCGAAGGAAGTGGTTGTAAAATTAACTCTTGGCCAGAGGGACAGTGCCGTACTATGGTTTTTGCCTGTTTCCATGTGGGAGGGAACTTGCTTCTGAGTCCTGCAGCATTGACATGAGTTAGGGCACGACAATTTCGCATGTCCATAAAAATGGATGTGGCTAAAGCATCAGCTCTGGCATTTACAGCTGAAAGAGGTCCTGGAAGTGATGTATGGGCTCAAATATGAGTAATGTAAAAGGGGGCACAGTGTGCTCTGAGAACTGTCTAAGACTTTTGAAAAAGTGAAAGTAAACTTTCCTCAGGCAAAAATTTAACACCGTTTCTATGTTGTGGGCAACATGCACGAGGTATGCAGAATCAGAAACAATGTTGACAGACTCAGGAAAATCCTCAAGGACAGTCATAACAGTGCTAAGTTCAGCTCGCTGTACAGAAATAGGTCCTGTGTTAAGAACGCGTTCCCATGGTCCTGTGTATACAGCACGGCCATTAGAGGAAGCATCAGTAAATATAGTAACGGCTCCAGTTAATGGAATACTTCTGGTAATATTAGGTAAAATCCAGGAAGTGAGTTTCAGGAACTGGAACAATTTTACATTAGGGTAATGATTGTCAATTATACCAGGGAAATGGGCCAAATTTACCTGCCAAATAACACAATTTGTAAATGCTTGTCAGAGTTGTTGACGGTTTAAGGGAAGAATAATTTTTTGAGATTCCTGTCCCAAAAGTCATAAAAGATGGGAACAGGCTTGCCTAATGAGGGTAGAAATTTAGTCAAGGTAAATAGTAAGTGTCCTTAGAGAGCTATGGGGAAGAAAACACCATTCAATTATATCATGTTCCTGAGTGATGATCCCTGTTGGAGAGTGTTCAGTGGGAAAAATTAAAATAGTAAAAGGTAATTTGGGATTGAATCTAGTGACCTGAGACCATTGAACTGTTTGTTCAATCAATCATAACTCAGACTCAGCCTCTCTGAGTCTGAGGTTTCTGTAAGAAACCTTTTCCTGTGTAAATCTGGATCCCCACATAATGTGGCAAAAAGGTTTGACATAGCATATGTAGGGATGCCCAAAGAAGGGCAAATCCAATTAATATCCCCAAGTAACTTTTGAAAGTCATTTAAAGTTTTTAAGGCGTCTCTCCTAAGCTGAACTTTTTGTGGTGTAATCAGCTTGTCTTCCAACTGCATGCCCAAATATTGAAAATGAGAGGTAGTTTGAATTTTTTCTGGTGCAATAGTCAAACCTGCTTCTGAAATGGCCTGTTGAATCACAGAAAAGCAGGAAATCAAAATGGTGTATGGGGGGGCTGTGCAGAGGAGATCATCCATGTAGTAAACGATGTAACATCGGGGAAACTGATCCCTGACAGGTTGAAGCACACGCCCCACAAAATACTGACAAATAGTGGGACTATTAAGCATGCCTTGTGGTAGGACTTTCCAATAGTAGCATGTAGCCTGAGCGACATTGTTGAGGGAAGGGACCATAAAAGCAAACTTTTCAAAGTCCTGAGAGGCCAGTGGAATGTTAAAAAAGCAATCTTTAAGATCTATGAGGATTAGAGGCCAATACTCAGCGAGCATAGAGCGGGAGGGTAAGCCAGATTGTAATGTCCCCAGAGGTTGAAGTACAGCATTAACTGCCCTAAGATGAGTGAGCATTCTCTGTTTTCCAGATTTCTTTTGGATAACAAAGACAAGTGAATTCCATGGAGAGAAAGATTCCTCAATGTGTCCCAATTCTAACTGTTCCAGGACTAAATTATGGAGCGCCTCCAGCTTATTTTTTGGGAGCGGCCACTGATCCACCCAAACTGGCTGAGTTTTCAAGTCAAAGGGATGGCATCTGGAGGCTTGACAGTGACTGCTTCTAAAAAGAATAACCAAGCCCTTTGGAGTCAAATTTATAGAAAGGTTGAATAGGCGCAGTAATACCTTGAGCCAATTTTCCCAGACCAGTGTCTTGAACATATCTCATTTTTGTCATAATGTTTTTACTTTGCTCACTGTTGGCAGCATGTGGAAATGAAATTTGTGCACCCCATTGCTGTAAAAGATCTCTTCCCCAGAGATTAACTGGAATAGGTGTAGAGGGTGAACAGTACCAGTCTGTCCCTCTGGGCCAGTACAATGTAAAATAGTGGAACTTTCATAAACCTCAGTGGCCTGACCAACTCCCACCAACCCGGTGAATGTGACTTCTTTGGGCCAGTGACGAGGCCATTGGTGTAAAGCAATAATGGAAACATCAGCACCCAGGTCAATCATGCCCATGAATTTCTTTCTGTGTATATGCGTGGAACAAACAGGTCAGGTGTCAGAAATTTTATTAGCCCAGTAAGCCACTTTACCCTGATTATCTGCACTCCTAAAACCTCCAGTTCTTTTATGAGAACTGGATCTGAGTGGAATGTACAGCAGAAGAAGAAGTTGAGCAATTCAATCTCCTGCTGAAGCTTGGCAAGGAACTGCAGAACTAACAGTAATGTGTATTTCCCCAGAGTAATCAGAGTCAATTACACCATTATGTACCTGAACACCTTTTAAATTTAAGCTTGAGTGACTGAGCAATAAACCAACAGAGCCAGGTGGCAAGGGCCCAAAAGCACCTGTGGGAACAGCTATTGGTGGCTCTCCAGGCAAAAGGGAAATGTCTCTAATACAGCAGAGATCTACTGCTGCAGATCCTGTGGTGGCGGGGGACAAGCATTGAAATGAGATCCTTGTTGGGGTTGTGACATCTATGCTTGTGGCATGAATGGTTGAAGTGGAAACTGAGTGGTTGGATCGATTGGTTGAGCTGGGGATGCCCTCATCTGGCTGCAAGGCCAAGGCTGGGAGTTGGGGAATGCTTCATTGTCTGGAGGGGCCTGGGGCTGGCCCCTCTTACCATTTCCCTGGTTTTGAAGTGGCTGTAAAGGGTTGCCATTAGTGTCGAATTTCGAGTGGCAGTGAGCTGTCCAGTGATTGCCCTTATGGCATCTTGGGCATGGTGTGGATGGTGGGACTCGCAGTTGTACGGCCTTTGGGGATTGGTGTTGTACAGGGTGGTGGTCTGAACACCGAGGACATTTTTTCCTGGTATGTCCAGATTGGCTGCAGTGAAAATAATTACCAGGAAATTGTCCAAGCATTCTAATGCTGGCCATAGCCTGAGCCGTGACCATAGCAGTATGTAACGTTCCACCAACACCCTCACATGCTTTAATATAGGATGTGATTAAATCACTTCCTGGTGGGATTTTACCTTTTACAGAGTGAATAGCAGCCTGATAATCTGGATTTGCTTGTTCATAAGCCATGAGTTCCACAACCAAATGTTGGTTATTTAGATCAGGAATAGATTTTTCTGCCACGTCCTGAAGATGGGCAATGAAGTCAGGGGTATGGTTCATTTTGCATTTGTCTAATGGCTGTAAAGGAGGGACATCTAGTGCCATCATCCTGAATCTTATCCCAAGCACCCAGGCAGCATTTTCGGAGTTGCTCAGTGACTTCATCATTCAATATAGTTTGCTTTCTAATTGCAGCCCACTGCCCCATTCCCAGTAACTGGTCAGTTGTAACGTTAACAGGAGGATTAGAGCCCTGATTAAGGCGGACTCAATCCTGGACAGCATCAACCCACCATGTCCTAAATTGTAAATATTGTGATTTAGATAAGACAGATTTTGCTAGAATTTCCCAGTCACAAGGCACCAAGCATTTATCTTCTGCTAAGGATTTTCGGGCGGAACGGACGAAAGGGGAATTGGTACCATATTGTTTAACCGACTCTTTGAAATCTTTAAGGAATTTGAAAGAAAAACTTTCCCAAGTAGCAGGTCATAGGTGGACCTGACCAGGGTGTAAAGGATCAGGTTGCACCACAGCCCGAATGGAATGTATGCCAGGAACTGGCTCTGCTGGGACATCAGGCCCTTGTTGCACTGGCTGAGGAGCCTGATCCCTGAGCTGCGGGTCTGGAGAGGCAGTGGCGTCAGCTGCCTGCTGAACTTGGTCAGCAGGTGGTGGCTGATCCATTGCAGCCAGAGCAGGGGCAGCTAGAATGGGGGCAGCAGGTATAGGAGATTGTAGAATAACAGGAAACGGCCATGCCTCGGGATCCCCGTATTCCCTTGCCTGAGAAATGGCCCTCATAAGAGGGGTGTCATTATCAGGAATGTATGTAACCTATTGCTTATGGGTAGCAACAGCAGTTGTGACTGGACCAGAAGCAGAAAAGAAATTGGGGTTTTGAATATAGAAGTTGAGAGACTTCAAGCCAGGCTGATGCACAGTTGCCTGCTTTGCAGGTCTTTCAGGGGCCTGAACTCCAGGCTGTTGCATTGACTGCAGGGCCTGAGCTCCAGGCTGGTGCACGGACTGCAGGGCCTGAACTCCAGGCTGGTGCATGGACTGCAGGTTAGGCTTCTGTGGAGCCTGATGCATAAGAGGAAAGGCAGAATTGGGTGAAGAGATAGCATTGAGGGCCTCATTACTGGGCCGAACAGGGATAGAGTTGACAGCCTCATAACCGGGCTGAACAGATGGATGGTTGAGAGCCCTACAGCAGGGCTGAGACAGTACAGGAGGTTCCGGCCACAAGGGCTGCTGATAGTACATTTCAGAGGGATTTTTTAGATCTGGGGGAAGGAGATCCTTCATAAGGTCCTCATAAAGTGATACTGGGGGTGCGGTAGGCATGGTAGGCTGTGGTGTATTTGGTGATGCCAAAGGAATATCAGAATGGAGGTCCATTTCTAAAATGATGGCTTCAGGTTGTGCAGTGCCCTCTGGAGAGAGAGTACTGAGGATTTCCTCAACCTCTTCGGAGGAGAGCAAAGGTAGAGTACCCTCCATTCCCTCCTCCTATGGCTGCAAGGATTCTAAGATGGAGCGAACCGAGGACCAAACTGTGCAAATGGCCGGCGGGATAACATGTTCCCCTCTATGAGCGATTTTAAACTGTTGGCCCACCTCATCCCAATCTTTAAGTTCTAGAGTTCCCTCAGTTGGAAACCAAGGGCAAATGAGAATGACGACCTCAAAGAGTTCAATTAGCTTGTCAGAAGAAACTGAAATTCCTCCTTCTTTAAGAAGGGTTTTTATGAAGTGTTTAAATAGGCCAAGTACTTTGTACTGGCTTGTCCCATGGAGTCCCTGAGATACTCTGAGTGCCCAAGCTTACCACCAAGCTTAATGACGACAATCCTCAGGAATCTGTCGTTGAAAGTCCTCTGCTGAGTCCTGCACTCAAAGTGCAACTTCACACAGTGAGGGAGAAACCCACGTTGGAGCACCAGATGTAAGGTCCAGCCCTACGGGGCTTTGCCGGTGTTCTCCCCATGTGCAGAGATGAGAGATTGTAAGAAATAAAGACACAAGACAAAAGAGATAAAGAGAAAACAGCTGGGCCCAGGGTACCACTACCACCAAGTTGCGGAGACCAGTAGTGGCCCCGAATGGCTGGGCGTGCTGATATTTATTGCATACAAGACAAAGGGACAGGGTAAGGAGGGTGAGTCCTCCAAGTGATTGATAAGGTCAGGCAAGTCATGTGATCATGGGAAAGGGGGCCTTTCCCTTTTAGGTAGCTGAAGCAGAGAGGGAAGGCAGCATACATCAGTGTTTTCTTCTATGCACTTATAAGAAAGATCAAAGACTTTAAGACTTTCACTATTTCTTCTACCATTATCTTCTACGAACTTCAAAGAGGAACCAGGAGTACAGGAGGAACATGAAAGTGGACAAGAAGCATGGCCATTGAAGCACAGCACCACAGGGAGGGGTTTATGCCTCTGGATGACTGTGGGCAGGGCTGGATACACAAGAAGCTGGTGGAGCAGAGTGTTCCCTGACTCCTCCAAGGAATGGAGACTCCCTTTCATGGTCTGCTAAGTAACGGGTGCCTTCCCAGGCACTGGTGTTACAGCTTGACCAAGGAGCCCTCAAGCTGTCCTTATGCAGGCGTGACAGAAGGCTCACCTCTTGCCTTCTAGGTCACTTCTCACAATGTCCCTTCAGCACCTGACCGTATGCCTACCGGTTATTCCTTGGTTATATTAGTAATAAAACAAAGAGTAATATTAAAAGCTAATGATTAACAATGTTTGTAGTAATGATTGGTAATGTCCATGATCATCTCTATATCTAATTTTTATTATAACTATTCTTATTCTAGCTATTTTCTATATTATACTGAAACAGTTTGTGCCTTCAATCTCTTGCCTTGGCACCTGGGTAATCCTTCGCCCACATATAGTCACCCTGAATCTCTACTAAGACACTGGGTAAATAAATACATATACTTTAGTCAATTTTAGACAGTTTCTTGAGGATTCCATGTGTCCACTGTTAGCTTTTTAATCCACTATCTTACTGAAATCATTCTCTGTGAAAATTTTCATGACTTTATAATATTACATTATGTCAATATATAATAATTTACCTATTTCTCTTTTTTTGTTGTTTCATCAAAAAGCAAATGGAAGCAATCAGGGCGTTGCAAAACAACTCAAAGATATTGGTCATGCATGATGCAAACAACAATCATGTTTTAATCTGCCCTGTAAAGGCAGAAACAAGTAATTTCTCATTTTTCTTTAGGAATAATGTTTAGCAAGAGCATAAATTATATAAAATAGTTATCAGTTTTTTGGTTTGTTGCTTTACAATAGCCTCTATTAAAACTGGCTGGAAGAAAAAAAGGCACTGTTTGCATATTGCAAATGACGTCCAAAGTCCAAAGGCTGTTAATCAATACTCCAATAATCAGATTTTCTTTTTCATTTGCACCCTATTCAGGATTATATCTTTATCAGTACTGTACCTTCATCAGCAATGAATATTTTTCTTACAATGCAAAAAAGAAAGAAACAATAAATTTGCTGAGGAAAAAAGCAAAAATACCATTTTTGGGGGGTTTTAACTTTAATTTTTTATTGAGGGTAATCTTTTTAAAGAACTCTTAGTCATTTTTTAAGATTGTGTGTGTGAGAGAAAGAAAGATGAAAGTTGGTTAGTCATTTCAAATGATTCACAATAAAGAAATGATATCATCATGGCACAAACAAAAAACATTTGTAGCTGGAAGTTGTTATAGTTGCACATACAGTCATAATTTGTTCTGAAATATCTTTGAGTAATTGAATAATTTTTGTAATATATAGAGATTCTGAAAAGCAAAACTGCTTCAGAGATAAAATAATGAGTTTATTTGTAAAATGCTTTACTTAAGAATTTTATTAGAGAAGAAACAATTGAACTGGATTCAGTTTTCTTCACAACCAGCATAAGATGGCATGCATACTTTCTTTTACATGCTATTGGTTAACCATTAGGCAGTGTGCAGAGGGCATTGCCTCCATTGATTTTATAACCTGTGAGGGAAGAAGAAAGAAACATTTGCTAGCCAGCTGAGTGACAGTGATGGATTCAAAACATCAGTGTTTGAAGCTAAATGATGGTCACTTCATGCCTGTCCTGGGATTTGGCACCTATGCACCTCCAGAGGTAATAATAATGTTTTTGGTGCAGAGAGTTGAAAAGAGCAAAGCCAGAATAAGTGGAAGCTGACCTGGGTTGTCAGGTTTGTGTTCGTGTATTACTCTGCATGACTCCAACCTGAGTTTCCCTAGGTTAAAGCTATACTGTATGTACAAAGAGAAAAAGTCAACCTTTGTTGTGCATAGAAGTCTGGTTGCATGGTCATCTACTGTTTATTTGGGGCACTGTTTTTTTTCTTCTATTTATGTTTATTTCATAGCTTGTCAGAATCCATGAAACTCAGCAGTGAAAAACACTGCCTGCCTGCTCCTCTCTTGGAAATTGATGGCAATAGAAGTGGTTTCTCTGTTTCCTTCTACACTGAAGAAATCTTTTCTTCTTCTAAGAAGACATAATACAGAAGAATTTTTGTGGCAAAATTTAGTGGAGATGGGGTGCATGAAATATGTTGGGAGAGTATCACTGTTCTGATATGCGGCCTTGAGCACCACATGGTAATACTGGACCTGGACTAAAGAGAATTTCCCATGTACTACTCTCACCTCTGAGAAAATTACCAGAGGATATAAAATATCCTCATTTTAAGAGAAAAGAAAAAACGACTAGAACCTAACAAGTTACGTTTAAATTATTGGCCCTTGTTCATATGCATCAGATTTGTAACAAAATGATAGGAGTGGTCCTCTGACACAAATGTGAGCAAAATGGAGACTTTATTTTATAGACTAAACTATTTCTACACTGGAAGAAAACTTGTATTCCAAGACTGTCCTGAGACTACTATGTTTGTGATTAGGGACTAGATACATGAAATTTGAGTCTCACTTTTCTCTCTATCAGTGTGTTCTGTGCAACATCACTGGGAGAGGACTCATAGGAGCTTGCACTGTATTCCTTCTGTAATTCCTTCCATGTACCTTTGTCCCTGTGTTAATTTCACTTTATTAAAAATATTTAGGACTATATATGTAACTATAGGTTGAGGTCAGTGTGGGTTAACCTGTGCCTCTGCTCTCCTGACTCCATGGAACTTTCCAGAGCAGTCGACATCATTGCCAAATCTGCACCTTCCATGTAGGCCTGGTGTTTTTACTACTGTCTAGTGGACACACTGTGGATACTGCCCATGTGGCCGCATTAGATGTTTCCAAAATTTGTGCTTATATCATGTTCTCCCAAACCTGCTCAGCTCCTTATCAGATCAAAAACATTTCCATCAACCTTGTGGTCCAGGTGCCAATTCTCACCTTCTCCATATGGAATTGCTCACTAAATCCTGTCAATTCGGTGTCTTTACTCATTTCAAATCTCTTTCTTTTTTCTCTTTGGATGTTTGCACATGACCCAAACACTGTATTTGCCTCCAGAAAGGCTGCCTTAGTGGAGTGAATAGGAGCACTTGGATTTAATTTTCTGCAATATGGAGATCTCAATTCTGAGAATAATGAAATTTTAAAATCAAAGAAGGAGTGTGGATGCAAAAGCCCCTTTGTTGGAATAATCTATAGCCAACAAAAGGCATTTACTATTTCTTCATGCTTTGAAGGTTTTAGTAGTCATAGACAGTAACTCATGTAATGAGGGAAAACAGAAGTTATGTAACTGCTGGCAGTGGAGATTTTAACAAGTAATAGAGATGATGAGATAATGTGTGAAAAACATAACAACAATGGCACATTGTAAGAACTCAAAAACTGGTAGATACCATTGTTGATATTTTATTAATATAGAGGAAAATAAAACATAAAAAGGAAATTATTAAATGAAAGGAAGAATAGCAAGCATTTGTAATTCTTACCACCAATGAAATATTTAAGGATAAGTAGGCATTTGTTTTTCCCTTTATTTTTTGTGCTATTTCTACATATACATTTTTAATGCATTGCATATTCCTGGATATTGGACCCTGTATCATACACAACAGTTTACATTTCTGAAAATTACCAAATATGTTTCATAAGGTAGGCAGGCACTAGGTAATAAATAAAGTAATAAAAGACAGCCTAATTGCTACCAGTAGCCATTCACACTCAAAATTATTTATTAGTGATGAGCGTATAACTTGCCTCTTCTTCTTCAAAGTAGGGCAGAAAGAGTTCCTACTTTCCTTGGGAATTTGAAATAGAAAAGGTCAGAATGACTCTTTGCTCTGTAGGCAGATGTACAGGAATGTTTTTGAAGATTTGACTGTGTGTGTGTTTTGTTT
Organism: Homo sapiens; assembly: GCF_000001405.40. Lineage (NCBI taxonomy): Eukaryota > Metazoa > Chordata > Mammalia > Primates > Hominidae > Homo > Homo sapiens. The sequence continues at coordinate 5,051,096 of NC_000010.11, forward strand.
TGTTGTTTGTTTGTTTTGAGGCAGAGTTTCACTCTTGTTGCCCAGGCTGGAGTACAGTGGCGTGGTCTCGGCTAACTGCAACCTCCGCCTTCTGTGTTCAAATGATTCTCGTGTCTCAGCCTCCCAAGTAGTTGGAATTACAGGTGCCTGCCACCATACTCGCCTAATTTTTGTATTTTTTAGTAGAGACGGGGTTCCACCATGTTGGTCAGACTGGTCTCAAACTCCTGACCTCAGGTGATCCACTCACCTTGGCCTCCCAAAGTGCTGGGATTACAGGCATGAGCCACTATGCCCAGCTGACTTTGTGTTTTATGTATTAAGTTCCAGGCAGGGGAGTAGAATTGAATAATTTATTATTTTGATAATACAGATACTATAAAGTCATGCTCTCAAAAAATGCAGATTCTCCAGCAATCAGAATATGAACTTCTTAACATCCACACTAATGGCAGCTTCCTAGAAATCACTGTGCTACCCCCCAGTAATGGAATCATTGCAGTTCATATCACGCATTATTCTTTCTTTCTTCAGTCTTGCTGGACACCCTGATTATCCATTTTCAGACAAATATTAACATGGAGGACTTTGCGTGAGTTCTACCAGAGGCCCTGTGTGTAGATGGTGACACAGAGGACGTCTTTATGCTAGTGATTAGACATACCGCCTTTGGCTAAATCTACCCTGCTTAGAGACTTCAGTTAACCAAATATAAGTCCACAGGCCATAAGGGAAAGACAATAAATTTGTTTTCTTTGAAATAATTCAGTGCTCTCTTCTAAAGATTCTTTACCTACTTTGGTCTCCATTATTGTATGTTTTCTTTCTTTCTGACTCATTAGCTCAAAAAGGATGATTTGCTTATAAGTTAGGATCGGGGGTGGTGTGTCTGGAATTGGTGGGTTCTTGGTCTCACTGACTTCAAGAATGAAGCCGTGGACCCTCGCAGTGTTACAGTTCTTAAAGGCAGCGTGTCCAGAGTTTTTTCCTTCTGATGTTCGGACGTATTCGGAGTTTATTCCTTCTGGTGGGTGCATGGTCGCGTTGGCTCAGGAGTGAAGCTGCAGACCTACATGGTGAGTGTTACAGCTCTTAAGGTGGCACGTCTGGAGTTGTTCATTCCTCCTGGTGGGTTCCTGGTCTTGCTGGCTTCAGGAGTGAAGCTGCAGACCTTCATGGTGTTACAGCTCATAAAGGCAGTGTGGACCCAAAGAGTGAGCAGTAGCAAGATTTATTGCAAAGAGTGAAATAACAAAGCTTCCACAGTGTGGAAGGGGACCTGAGCAGGTTGCCACTGCTGGCTTGGCCAGCCTGCTTTTATTCTCTTATCTGGCCCCACCCACATCCTGCTGATTGTTCCATTGTACAGAGAGCTGATTGGTCTGTTTTACAGAGAGCTGATTGGTCCATTTTGACAGGGTGCTGATTGGTGTGTTTACAATCCCTGAGCTAGACACAAAGGTTCTCCAAGTCCCCACCAGAGTAGCTAGAGTGTCGATTGGTACATTCACAAAACCTGAGCTAGACACACGGTGCTAATTGGTGTGTTTATAAACCTCGAGCTAGATACAGAGTGCCGATTGGTATATTTACAATCCCTTAGCTAGAAACAAAGGTTCTCCACGTCCGCACTAGATTAGCTAGATACAGAGTGTGGACACAAAGGTTCTCCAAGTCCCCACCAGAGTAGCTAGATACAGAGTGTCGATTGGTGCATTCACAAACCCTGAGCTAGATGCAGGGTGCTGATTGGTGTGTTTACAAACCTTGAGCTAGATACAGAGTGCCGATTGGTGTATTTACAATCCCTTAGCTAGACATAAAGGTTCTCCAAGTCCCCACCAGAGTAGCTAGATACAGAGTGCCGATTGGTGCATTCACAAACCCTGAGCTAGACACAGGGTGCTGATTGGTGTATTTCCAATCCCTTAGCTAGACATAAAGGTTCTCCAAGTCCCCACCAGACTCAGGAGCCCAGCTGGCTTCACCCAGTGGATCCCATGCTGGGACCGCAGGTGGAGCTGCCTGCCAGTCCCGTGCCATGCGCCCGCACTCCTCAGCACTTGGGTGGTTGATGGGACTGGGTGCCGTGGAGCAGGGGGCAGCGCTCGTCAGGGAGGCTCCAGCCACACAGGAGCCCACGGACGGTGGAGAGGCTCAGGCATGGTGGGCTGCAGGTCCCGAGCCCTGCCCCATGGGGAGGCAGCTAAGGTCCGGTGAGAAATTGAGCACAGCAGCTGCTGGCCCAGGTGCTAAGCCCCTCACTGCCCTGGGCTTGCAGGCTGGCCAGCCGCTCTGAGTGCAGGGCCTGCTGAGCACATGCCCACCCGGAACTCGTGCTGGCCCACAAGGCCATGCGCAGCCCCAGTTCCCACCCATGCCTCTCCCTCCACACCTCCCTGCAAGCTGAGGGAGATGGCTCTGGCCTTGGCCAGCCCAGAAAGGGGCTCCCACAGTGCAGCAGTAGGCTGGAGGGCTGCTCAAGCATGGCCAGAGTAGGCACCAAGGCCAAGGAGGCAACAAGAATGGCAAGGACTGTGAGGCCTGCCAGCACATTGTCACCTCTCAATCCCCCCTCTAAACAGGACACCCTAACTGCTGTTGGGAATTTGGCCAATGACTGCTCTAGCTAATTGCTGCTGGATAGGGGTAATGAAGGGGCCCTGCAGTTGTAGTGTCCTCCAGAGGGGAGTTCTCCAGGCCAGGGGAAGTGCCAGCAGGTTGGTCCAGGGGTCCTTGGTAGAAGTTGTTAATTGAACTCATTTGGGGTTCCATTTGTAAGACCATCTGTAGCTTGATGGCCTTGATTCTAGAGGAAACAAATTTGACAAGAAGGTTAAAAATACAGGGCCCAAAGGCAAGTAACAGTAAGATGGCTGCCACGGGACCTAGAAAGGGGAGAAGCCATGTTGCCCAACTCCAGAGGTTGGTATAAGAATTTGAAAGGCGTTGTCTGATTTCAGAAGCCTTTTCCTGTAAGCGCCGGTTGGCATCTTGTACTATCCCCGACTGGTTAGTGTGAAAACAACACTCTTCCCCTAAGAAGGTGCAGAGTCCTCCTTTCTCAGCAGTGAGGAGGTCTAGGCCTCAGCAGTTTTGGAGAGTCACTGCTGCCAAAGAGTCTATTTGGGATTGTAAAGTAAGAATAGATTTCGTTATTTCTTGCAAACTGTCTGAGAAATCCTTTGAGAGTGTGTGGTAGTAGGATAATGAAGTAGATAAACCAGCTATTCCGGTTCCTGTAGCAGTAGCCATTCCTAACCCTATAAGTAGGGGTATTAGTTGTATGGCTCTGCACTGACGGACTTGAGCTTTGAGGGGTACTGATAAGGTCTGATTTCCTGGGGCAATGTTAATGTTGGGATTTAGAAAGACTAAGGTGCAGGTGCCTGTCCAGTTAGTGGGGAGGCAGATATAGGTCAATGTTCCGCATAAGAAAAATATGCCTTGGCTGGGTAGACAGAACTTTATCCTGGCTTTTAAAGGAATGGGATACACTGTTTTTTTCTTTACTACTTCCATCTCTCTTTCTCTTTGACTTCTTTGTCTCTTCCTCTCTTTCTGACTCTGACTTTCTGTGTCTGTCCCTCTTTCTCTCTGACTCCTTCTCTTTGTCTCTTTCTCTTTGACTCTGTTTCCTCTCTCTCCTTCTCTTTGTCTCCCTGTTTCTGTCTCTGTCTCTTCCCCTCTGTCTCTTTCTTTGACTTCCTGTCTCTTTCTTTCCTTTCTGCTGCCTCTGCCAGCTGCTTATGCTGCTGTTCTCCCCTCTTCTTCCCATTTTGATGGATTTGACAGTGTAAGACTCCCACCTCCTTGGGTTTTTGCACTGCATGCAATAACTCTATAATTTCCTTATGGTATTTAATGGGGGTTCCCCCAGAGGTTAGGAACTCCCTTTCTTTCCACATTGCAGCATGGGCACGCAGGATTAGATAAGCATACTTGCTATCTGTATACACATTTATTCTTTTTCCCTTTCCCAGTTCTAGGGCTTGGGTAAGTGCCACTAGTTCTGCTAACTGGGCACTGGTCCCTGGGGGAAGAGGCTTACTTTCAAATATGGTTACATCTCTGTGGCATAACCTGTCCTTCGTATCCCATTCTCCACAAATGAACTGCCAACTGTATATAGGTTAAGGTCAGGATTAGTTGAGGGGACTTCTAAGAGATCATCTCAGACGGCATAAATCTAGACTATAATTTGTTGGCAGTCATGCTCAATTGGTTCCCCATCCTCTGGGAAAAAGTGGCAGTGTTGAGGGGCATGCACATGCATATTTGAAGCACCAGTCCCTCAAGGAGTAGTGCCTAGTATCTAAGTAGGCAGTTGTCTGACAGCCATAAACTTCCTTTGGCACCTAGTATGCCATTTACATCATGAGTAGTCCAGACAGTGAGATCCTTTCCTTGTATTATTTTGATAGCCTCTGACACTAAGACGTCCACTGCTGCAACTACCCTTAAACAGTGAGGCCAGCCTTTTGCTACTACATTAATTTCCTTACTTAGGTACGCCACTGGTTGTGGGGTTGTCCCACGAGTCTGAGTAAGGACTCCAAGAGCTATACTGGCTCTCTCTGTGACTTATAAAGAGAAGTTTTGTCCTGTGGGAAGGCTTAAAGATGGAGCTTGTACTAGGGCCTGCTTTAAGGTTTTGAAGGCTGTTTCTGCCTCTGGTTCCCATTCTACTAGATGAGTATTTGCCATCTGGGTTTCCTTGATTAGGGTATAGAAGGGCCTGGCTATCTTGCTGTATCTGGGGATCCATAGTCGGCAAAAGCCGGTAATTCCAAGGAACCCCCTCAACTGTTTTAATGTCTTAGGGCAAAGATAAGCCAGTATAGGCTGTATTCGTTCCTTGCTGAGGGCCCTGGTCCCTCTGGCTAAGATTAGGCCTAGATATTTGACCTGCTGTAGCAAAGCTGGGCCTTCAACCTAGACACCTTGTAACCTTGATTAGCTAGAAAGTTCAACAGATCCAGAGTAGCCTGCTGGGACAAGGCTTCCAAACTGGTAGCCAAAAGTAAATCATCCACATATTGAAGGACCAGAGTGCCTGGACTTGAGAAGTGGCCTAGATCTTGGGCCAGTGCCTGACCAAACAGATGAGGGCTATCCCTAAACCCTTGGGGCATGTAAGTTGGGATGTGTGGTCTGTGGGATCCTCAAAGGCAAAGAGGAACTGGGAGTCAGAGTGCAGGGGAATACAGAAGAAGGCATCCTTGAGGTCCAGAACCATGAACGATTCTGCTTCCTCTAGTATTTGAGAGAGCAGGGTATAGGGATTGGGTACAACTGGATATAGAGGAATTACTGCCTCATTGATGTGTCTAAGATCTTGCACTAGTCTCCACTGACCATTCGGTTTTTGTACTCCTAGAATTGGGGTGTTGCAGGGACTGCTGCATTTCCTTACTAAGGCTTGAGCTTTCAAATGTTTAACAATATTCTGTAATCCTTTATGAGCTTCAGGCCTTAAGGGATATTGCCTTTGATAAGGAAAAGTGGTGGGATCCTTTAACCTGATTTGGACTGAGTGGGCATTTTTCGCCCTTCCAAATTGTCCCTCCAATGCCCAGACTTCAGGGTTGATTCCCTCCTCAAGTAGGGGACAACAAATGGGTAACTTGTTTCCCATATTCATGTAGATAATAGCTCCAGCCTTGGCTAATATATGCCTCCCTAATAAGGATGTGGGACTTTCAGGCATAACAAGAAAGGCATGTGAAAAGAGCAAAGTCTCCCAATTACAACTGAGGAGGTGAGAGAAATACCTGGTGCCAGGCTGTCCCAGGATTCCTCGGATGGTAACAGACCTTGAGGACAGTCATCCAGGACAGGAGATTAACACTGAGAAGGCTGCACCAGTGTCCAGGAGGAAGTCAATTTCCTGGTCCTGAATAGTTAAACATACCCGGGGCTCAGTGAGGGTGAAGACATGAGCTGACGCTTGCCCTGGGTACCCTCAGTCCTATTGTTGGATCATCTGGTTGGGGGCTTCTGACCCAGGGAACCTTTGTCCTCTGGGGCAGTGCACCTTCCAGTGATTGCCTCAGCATAGTGGACATGGATGAGGGGGCAGCTTGTTTCTCATTGGACAATCTTTTTTAAAGTGTCCTAGTAAACCACACTGATAACAGGCCCTACCAGGTGATGGGCCTGCTCCATTTTCTGTCCTCTCTGAACCACCAAGGTTTGTTTGTCTGAGGGCCATGACTAAGGCTGCAGCCTTTCTCTGATCATGCTTTTCCTTTTGGGTCTGTTCCTCTTGGTCCCTATTATAGAACACTGAAGTTGCCAGGTTTAATAATGCCTCTAGATTTTGTTCAGGGCCCAGGGCTTGCTTTTGGAGCTTTCTCCTGATATCTGTGGCTGATTGGGTATTAAACTTATCTTTTAGAATCAATTGACCCTCGAGTGATTTGGGTGACGGGAGTATAATTTCTTAAGGCCTCATGTAGCCACTCAAGGAAGGCAGAAGGATTTTCTTCCCTTTCCTGAGTCATGGTGGACATCATTGAATAATTCATGTGCTTTTTTCTAATTCTCCTTAGTCCTTCTAGAACACAGGTCAACAGATGTTTACGACTCCAGTCCCCATGATCTGAGTCAAGGTCCCAGTGGGGATCCATACTGGGGATGGCTTGCTGACTGGTAGGGAATTTGTCCCTTTCTTCGGCTGTCATGCTATCATTTACTGACTAAGATACCACATATCTCCAAACTCTCGGGCTGTAGCTAAAGCTGCATTCTTTTCATTAAAGGCCAGGGTTTGATCTAACAGTAGCATGACATCTCTCCAAGTGAGCTCAAAGGTTTGCCCTAGACCCTGTAGGACATCTATGTACCTATCAGGATCATCTGAAAACTTCCCCAGGTCTGCCTTGATCTGCTTTAAATCAGAGAGGGAGAAGGGGACATGTACCCGGGTTGGGCCAAATTCCCCTCCCCTACAGCTTGAAGGGGACATAACCAATAGCCCGGGGGGTTTTGTGGTCCTTTGGAGATTTCTTTGCTTATTTCCTTCTGGGCGGGGGAGGTTAGAGGAGGATTATCATTAATAGGAAGGGGAGTTATAGGGAGGCTAGGATCTGGAGGTAAGCTGAGAGGTCCTCCTGTGGGATGTAAATTGTAAGCTTTGCATAGTTGTGTATTCTCCTTCAATGAAAAGAAAACTTGGACATAAGGTATTTCACTCCATTTGCCTTCCCTCTTAGAGAAAAGGTCAAGCTCTGCAGGATAGTATTGTAATTTGTACTTCCCTCAGGTGGCCATTTTTCCCCATCAAAGAGAGAATATTGGGGCCAAGCTGTAGTGCAGAAACAAATGAGCCACCTCTTTTTCAGGGTTTGTGGGTCAAATTGGTCCCAATGGCTTAGGATGCATTCCAAGGGTGAGCCTGTTGATGCCTGAGTGTTTCCCATCTGAAAGACAAAATTGCCTGTGGTTTTGGTTTGTTTTGTTTCTCCCCCTGCCCAAGAACCCACAACAGTCCCTGGACCCTGCTGATCAGAATACCTGTGCTCACCAACGCAGCAGTGGAAACAACCCCTGCCCAAGAACCTGCAATGGTCCGTGGACCCTGCTGGTTGGAATACTTGCGCTCACCGACGCAGCAGCAGAAACGCTAGTTTTCCTCCCAGACCACATGGAGGACCAAGGAAGGTTGGATTTAGTGGCTCTTATCGACACATTCTCGAAAACCTGCACCCTTGCCTGTCCTCCTAGACCACAAGGAGGACTGACTGAGAAAAATCAGATTTAGTGGCCCTTACCGACACATTCTCAAAAACCCGTTAGAGTCCTAAGCATTCACCGGTTAGTATTAGGACTTTACCCCTGTCCTGTAAAGATGTTATGCCCCAAAAATGAAGTGAAGGACCTTACCCTGACGGAGGTAAGGGATCTCCAGGGTTGGAAGAGTGACACCTTTTGTCTTTACTTATATGAATAGGAAGGATACAATTTCTGAGGCTCCCCACATCCTAGCTTCAGGAATAGCTTTTGTTAGGCCTGTTAGTCTGAGGAGGGATCCTAAAATTCCAGGTAGTCCCCACTATGATGGGGCTTTGGGCAAAAATTATGTCTTTCTGATTGGTGAATCCAGGTGCCTAAAGAAGGTAACAGAGTTGATACTAGAAGTCATTCTTATGGGAGAAACTAGAAAAACACCAGAGACAGGTAGCAGTCTTTAGAAGCAAGACTAACCTTGGAGAAGAGAGTCAAGAGAAAGTTTCTCTGGCAAGCTTTAGGACCCAGGGGGCAAGGGTCAGGATAGATAGGATAGATGAGTGAGTCTCACTTGGGCGACATGCCTTTGAGAGTTCCACTCATGGCTGCAGGGTCAACCAACTTGTCATCAGGAACCCGGAGCTGCATGGTTTTCCTCTCTGTTGACCCTTGGCTCAGCCCAGAAATACAGGAAAAGCAGAAGCTGGTTATAGGCAAACCAATGGTCCCAACTCCGAAGAGTCGGGGGTTGTTAGCCCTTTCCCAGAAAGCCTGACACCCGTGTCTTTAGTCCAGCGGCCGCACTAGTCCCTTTTAACTGGCTGACAGGTGCCCGGTATTTAGCCCCCAAATTCTAAGGAAAAGTAGGACAGAATAGCAAGCAAAAGGGGTCTGATGGTACTCAGTGCTTGGCGATAGGCGATAGTCTCGCTGCTCAGTGATAGCTGATGGTCTCACCCCTCGGCGATAGTCTCACCCCTTGGCAATAGGTGATGGTCCCTTCGTGGTCGCCAAAATGTGTCCAGAAATGGTGGGTTCTTGGTCTCACTGACTTCAAGAATGAAGCCGCGGACCCTCGCAGTGAGTGTTACAGTTCTTAAAGGCAGCATGTCTGGAGTTTTTTCCTTCTGATGTTTGGATGTGTTTGGAGTTTATTCCTTCTGGTGGGTGCATGGTCTCGCTGGCTCAGGAGTGAAGCTGCAGACCTTTGTGGTGAGTGTTAGAGCTCTTAAGGTGGAACGTCTGGAGTTGTTCATTCCTCCTGGTGGGTTCGTGGTCTTGCTGGCTTCAGGAGTGAAGCTGCAGACCTTCATGGTGTTACAGCTCATAAAGGCAGTGTGGACCCAAAGAGTGAGCAGTAGCAAGATTTATTGCAAAGAGCAAAAGAACAAAGCTTCCACAGTGTGGAAGGGGACCCGAACAGGTTGCCACTGCTGGCTTGGCCAGCCTGCTTTTATTCTCTTTTCTGGTCCCACCCACATCCTGCTGATTGTTCCATTTTACAGAGAGCCGATTGGTCTGTTTTACAGAGAGCTGATTGGTCCGTTTTGATGGTGCTGATTGGTGCATTTACAATCCCTGAGCTAGACACAAAGGTTCTCCAAGTCCCCACCAGAGTAGTTAGATACAGAGTGTCGATTGGTGCATTCACAAACCCTGAGTTAGACACAGGGTGCTGATTGGTGTGTTTACAAACCTCGAGCTAGATACAGAGTGCCAATTGGTGTATTTACAATCCCTTAGCTAGACATAAAGTTTCTCCAAGTCCCCACCAGACTCAGGAGCCCAGCTGGCTTCACTCAGTGGATCCCACACTGGGGCTGCAGGTGGAGCTGCCTTCCAATCCTGTGCCATGTGCCCGCACTCCTCAGCCCTTGGGTGGTCAATGGGACTTGGCGCTGTGGAGCAGGGGGTGGCACTTGTTGGGGAGGCTCAGGCTGCACAGGAGCCCACAGAGGTGGGGAGGCTCAGGCATGGCGGGCTGCAGATCCTGAGCCCTGCCCTGTGGGGAGACAGCTAAGGCCCGGCAAGAAATTGAGCACAGCAGCTGCTGGCCCAGGTGCTAAGTCCCTCACTGCCTGGGGCTTGCGGGCTGGCCAGCTGCTCCAAGTGCAGGGCCTGCTGAGCCCATGCCCACCTGGAACTCACGCTGGCCCACAAGCGTGGCGCACAGCCCCAGTTCCCTCCCGTGCCTCTCCCTCCACACCTCCCTGCAAGCTGAGGGAGCGAGCTCTGGCCTTGGCCAGCCCAGAAAGGGGCTCCCACAGTGCAGCGGCGGGCTGAAGGGCTCCTCAAGTGCAGCCAGTGTGGGCGCCAAGGCCAAGGAGGCACCGAGAGTGAGCGAGGACTGCAAGGGCTGCCAGCACACTGTCACCTCTCAGTGGGAGATGATGACAACCATTTTGCAGACCTTTTTGAGGTGGGCATGGATGATTTCCAGCTTCTGAAGAAGGAGCTGGTGACAGGTATATATCAGTGCATCTTTAGCTATTTGAGGAACAAGAAAACACACAGCATGGAGTCTGGAGGATGAGGGCTATTGACAGGATGACCAGGAATCCATGGGCTTCCTCCAGCAGTGTGGAGATCAGAGCTCCCAGAGCCTAGGAATGAGGCATCCCTATGGGAGGGGTGTTCAGTGAGGAGGGAGGGCACACAGCCAGAAGAAATGATTACAGGTCAGATATGGAAGAGGTTTAGAAGGAGGGGGTTGAGTACATGTATGCTTGGAAAAACGCATTGGCAACATTTTGGGATAATTATATGTTGTGCATAAAAGGAAACTTTCTCCACAATCCTTCAAGAAACCCCAGAGCTGAGAGTCAGGCCTGGACCTCTGATGCCCAATTACAGTATTGACCCTATTGAGCTGTGGTAGGACAGGACATTGAAGACACCATTGACTGATCAGATTCCCCTAACTACCAACCCATCTTTAGAAAATGTTCTTAGATTCCAGAAATATACTATTAATTTATTATACTTGATGTTTTTAAATGTTTCATACATAAAATAAGGCATGCTTGTAAGTATGAAAGACAAAATGTCTTAAAGCCATTACATATTACTCTCAAATTAAGGCCAAAATGGTGAATAATACATCTAATAAAGCAAACTCTCCAAAATCCCAAAAATCTTTTGGAAACAGTGTTTGCAAAATTGCACAAAGTTTTCAAACTTTAGTAAATGTTAGGAACAACTCTTACAAAGACATGTAATTCTTTCACATAGTTTTTAGGAGTACAAAGTAAATCAGCTAATCATGGGGACATAAATTTTCATTTCAGAATACTCTTTTGAGAACTTGGGATATCCTGGTGAAAGCATTTTGAGGACAGTGGTTTTTGACCTGGGCACACTAACACTTTCACTCAACTGTTCTTACTCTGGCGGCCACCTTAACCCCATCAAAGAGGCTTTCTCAAGTCAGGTCTCCCAGCATGTTTTGCAGCCCACAATCTTTCCTTAAACTATGTATTCCTTAAAATTCAGGGAGGCTATAAACTTTGGAGTGCCCTAGGCCAATTTCGTGGACTGTTTTCTGTCTATTTTCATTCCCTTGATGGTCTCTGGCTTTAAATACCACCTCTAGGTTGAGAAACACTCTAAAAATATTTGTAGCTGAGCTTTTCCCTCCAAACTCCAGGACAGAACATAATAATGTGTGCTCTACATCTCCGTATTAGTGTCTAATGAACATTCACCCTTAGCATGTCTCAAGCAAACCATGTAAACCAGTGCCATCCTGTTCCACCTGCACTTTCTTATTTTAACTAATAATTATTTCACATCTCATAAAGTTGATTGAGGTAATTACCAAGAAAACAGTGACATTTTCTCAAAACTTACAGGTCAAGTGTGTAACTCCTAAGAAAAAATTTTAAATGTCGAATTTCTTTAGCAAGCATAACATGTTTTTCCAGATGTGAGATAATCATTAGGGCAGTCATTTGTAAATACTAGATCTGCTACAGGCTTATTCCAGCCAGTTCATTACTTAGCCCTCTATTTCCACAGAACTCCTAGTTAAAAAAAAAAAAAAAAGGAAAGAAAACAAAAAAACTTGTAATTTCTCAAAGCTCAACACTTGGTTTTTAGGAACACTTGGGAATGTAAGAAAATGGTATAGGGACCTCCAATCCCTGATTCATTATTTTTTTCTCTACAAGAAATGCTGAAGTGAATAATTCAGGATGAAGGAGAGGAAATAGATAGTAACTAACAGCCATTTAGACCTATAAAGATGTCCTAGTCAATGTGAATAGGTGGCAAAATATGAAAACATGTATTTTTGAAATTTTGGAATTGTACTCTATTTTTCTTGAAGATTTAAAATATGAATTTATACAAATAAGTATAATTCTAAGTTAATATGTACACAATGTAGAAAGCTGTAATTAGTAACAAAACAATGTGAAGTGGAATAAAAACCTGGGGAAAGGGAGAGTTTTTATATAAAATTTAAGTTACATTGGCATTGATTCAAAGTAAATTGCTATGATTTTATTAAATCGTATGTCATCCCCACAGAACAGAGAATAACTGTGTTAGAATATACTCCACAGGAAATGAGAAAGAAATACCAATGTCATTTTAAAAAATCACATAACCTTACGAAATGGTAGTAAAGGTGAATATGAAGGACAAAAAGCTATAGAGAGTGGGAAACATTGAAAATGGCACAAGTAGCTGGGAGCAGTTGTTCATGCCTGTTATCCCAGCATTTTGAGAGGCTGAGGCAGGCAGATCACTTGAGGCCAGAAGTTTGAGGCCAACATGGTGGAACCCCATCTCTACTAAAAACACAAAATTAAGCCAGGTGTAGTGGTGCAAGCCTGTAACCCCAGTTACTCAGAAGCCTCAGAGGCAGAGGTTGCAGTGAGCCAAGACTGCGCCACTGCAATCCACCCTGGAGGACAGAGGTAGTCTCTGTCTCAGCAAAAAAAAAAAAAAAAAAAAAAAAGGAAAATGGCACAAGTAACTCTTTCCCTGTCAAAAATGACAGTCATGTGTCATGTAATGCCTGGGCTATCTTCTGAGAAAGGCTCTGTGAGGCAGCTCCATCACTGTGGGGACATGAAAGCATGAAGAGAAAATTCTCTCAATGTCATTGCCTCGCCAACTACGTTTATGTCATATTCTAAATCCTTTGCTGTCATTTCAGGAATGTTTACAGCATCTTCATCAGAAGTGGAATCTATTTCACCAAACCAGTTTCTTTGCTCATCCATAAAAGTAGCTTCTCATTTGGTAAAATTATATCGTGAGATTGCAACCATTCAGTAATATTCAAGCTCCAATTTTAACTATAGTTCTCTTACTATTTCCACCACATCTGCAGTTATTTTCTCCACTGAAGTCTTGAATTCCTCAAAGTCACCCATGAGGGTACTAGTACAGAAGCAGGCCCATGGACCAAGGGAACACTAGAGAAGTCCCAGAAATAATGCTGCACACCTGCAATCATTCAACGAGTGATGCTGTGATGACTAGCTAGCCATGTGCAGAAGATTGAAACGGGAAAGCCTTCCTTACACTGTATTAAAAAATCAACTCAAAATATATTAAAACCTTAAGTTTTAAGCCTAAAACTATGAAAAACCCTTGAAGATATCCCAGGAAATACCATTCTGAAATAGGCCCTGGCAAAGATTTCATGATGAAGACACCAAAAGCAATTGCAAGAAAAACAGAAAAGACAAGTGGGACCTAATAAACTAAACAGCTTCTACACAGCAAAAGACACTAGCAACAGAATAAACAGACAACCTAAAGAATGGAAGAAAATGCCCACACACTATGCATCTGATGAATGTCCAATATCCAGAATCTACAAGAAACTTAAACAAAATAACAAGCAAAAAGAACAACAACTCCATTAAAAAGTGGGGAAAATACGTGAAGAGATGCTTTTTAAAAGAAGACATACTTGTGGCAAACATATGAAAAATGCTCAACATCACTGATCATTAGAGGAATGTAAATCAAAACCACAATGAGATACCATCTCATACCAGTCAGAATGCCTATTATTATACTATGCATCTGATGAGTTCCAATATCCAGAATCTACAAGAAACCTAAACAAAATAAGCAAAAAAAAAAAATTAAAAAGTGGGGAAAATACATGAACAGATGTTTTTTAAAAGAAGACATACTTGTGGCAAACAAGCATATGAAAAAAATGTTCAACATCACTGATCATTAGAGAAATGTAAATCAAAACCACAATGAGAAACCATCTCATACCAGTCAGAATGGCTATTACTAAAAAGTCAAAAAATAACAGGTGCTGCTAAGGTTCTAATGAAAAGAGAACACTTATACACTGCTGGTGTATTAGTTCAACCATTGTAGAAAGCAGTGTGGTGATTTCTCAAAGAACTTAAAACAAAATTACTATTCAACCGAGCAATCCCATTATTGAGCATATAGCTCAAAGAATATAAATCATTCTATCATAAAGACACGTGCATGCATATGTTCATTGTAACACTGTTCACAATAGCATAGTCATGGAATCAAATTAAATGCCTGTCAACACCAGACTGGATAAAGAAATCTTTACATTCTCACAAAATGTATATACCACATTTTAACCTCCAAGATGATGATATTAGGAGGTTGGTACTTAGGAGTTGATTGTGTTACCGAAAGAGGGTGTCCAGGTTCTTGGCTTCTTGAACAAAGAATTGGACAAAATGCAGAAAAAAATGCAAGGAAAGAATAAAGTAGCAAAAGGAGATATTTATTCGAAATGAAAGTACACTTCACAGTGTGGTAATGGGCATGAGCATAGGGCCCCATTACAGAATTTGTGGGAGTTTAAATACACTCTAGCAGTTTCCATTGGTTACTTGCTGTATGCCCTATGTAAATGAAGAGGACAAAGTAAGGTTACGAAGTCACTTAGTGTACACCCTATGGAAAGGATATTTCCTGTCATAGCTGAAGTGTTAATTGGCCTTATGTTCCCTGCCTCCAGACATTATTTTCTTGACTCATTTCCCCACTGAGAGATGTGATCTTCATAAATCTTTATGGGAGGCAGAGGGACAGCTGGTCTTTCTTCTGTAGCTGCTTCATGCTGGCTTGGGGTGTAGTTTCTACCTATTGAGGATCACAGAACTCTCACTCTGCTCTCTCTAGTGGAGGCAGGGTATCTCCTTGATGGCCAGGGGTGGTGTCTTTACCTGGAATTGGCTGGAGCCTTTGTTGCATGATCATCTGAAGCTAGATGGTCTCTAGGTGAGAGGAAATGAATTGGGTTAAAACATTTATTGGGAACTTCAGGGGTGGATACCTATGCTGTCGAGAATGTTTGTTATAGAGATTTGCAGGAGACAAACAAAATTTTGCTTGTGGTGTGTTCTAGGATCTGTGTGTTTCCTTAAAGTCTTAGAACTAGCGACTCCATTTTGGTTTGGTTTGGTCTGTTGAGGCTTAGTGCATGAGCCCAGTCCAAAACAATGGCCTCCTATCATTTCATTTCAGAAATTTCCCCTTTTTGATCAGGTTCTCACTTAGGTGAGAATGTGACCAAAACTTAGGGCCTTAGTGCCACTCTCAGTTACCATCATTTTGGGTTTCCCATCTCAGCATGTCATTGACAGGTTACGGTGTCCTCATGGTTGCACATTTCTTTCAGCTCTTGTTATTCCAGTCGAAGAGAGACCAAATGACATCCTAGTGATGGTTGCATATAAGCATTTAAAACCTTTGAGAGAATATAGCGCAGCAACGAGACTATTATTATGACTATTGGGAGCATAATACCTAGAGTTTGGAGTATGGTGCTCATCGAAGGTCCCCATAAGCCAAACCTCCTAAAATAGAATCGATTAAAGAATGAGCTAGATAAAGAGTCTACTCACTTAACTTAGCAGTCTCATCTCCTTCACTGAATTTCCATAATCTTCATTTAATGTATTTTTCCGTAGGTCATAAGTGCCAGCTGCAGCATAGATACTTTTCTGTTCATCCAACTCTATTATAACTTTCACAAAAGAATTTAAAGTCTGTTGTTTAACTGTAGGCCTTACAGTAAAATTTGCTATAGAGCATATAATGGGGGTACATTTCTATTCATTGCTTCTCTACTCTAAACCATGGAAAAAGCACTTAACAAATGATGCCCTTCTAAAAGAGTGAAGGCCTCCTGGCAATGTTCTCTTTAACCCATGATGTGGATTAAGAGGAGTGAATCATTGTTTGTTTGTTTGTTTGTTTGTTTTTGAATGATTATTAGGCAACATATGTACCATTAAAGTTTCTTAAGTACATTGGGCCTTTGTCCTTTATCTAACAAAGTATAAGTTTATCCACTTATAAGGCTGGCTGCAAATTCCTTAAACAAAAGTACACCCCATAAGTGCACATAACAGATCCCTTTTCCATTTCTATTGTTCAGAGAGGCATAAGCAAGAAAAAATAATAAAAGATAAGAATTTCATGACAGTAGAAGTGTTAATCTGTTAACTTGGGAAAAGATATTCACATCAAGGATGCCATCTTCATTTTGGGAGAAATTTCCCTGGTTAGTTTTACCTTAAGGGCTCCAATGAGTGTACAATTCCAAGAGTGTGGAGGGAACTTTCTCAGTTGTGAGATTATGTACCCAAAGTTCAAGGTCCCAAAGTTTTGTTGTAGTGCAGATGGCAAGATCTTCTGATGTTCTCAGAAGATCCAAACAATTGAAAGCTTTTTTTACCTGGTGAAAATATACTGTAGCATAATAATCTACTGTTATAACACCAGCCCTCTTGCATGGGAAAGCTTTTATACAACCAGAAAACATGCATTGAAAATAACAATTGAATGACATCCTTTCATAAAATGTCTAAATTGCACACCAGGTAACTGAATGTACCTGAAGCTTTGTATTCCCAGGAATATGGGGCCAAACAATAGTTATAAACTATGTTAGTAATTTGTAAGTTTCCACACCAATGTACTCAAATTGGATTATTTTATCTTTTCCATGGTGAGTCATGGAGTGCAGAACTTTTAATAATAAATGCTTTAAGGACTCAGGAAGGACAATGTGGCCATCCTGGTTCTCCATGAGTCTAAACTTGATTAACATTAGACTTATATCCTCTTGAATACCAGTTGATTCTCCAAATTAGGTGCATTGTACTGATAGCTGATGAGTTACCATGGGTGATTTGACTCAGACCATGGAGTTTATTCAAATTGTATATTTAAATAATTTTAGTATTAGCTTGTTTAACATGAAAATCTGACAAAGTATTTTCTTGGTATTTGATTAATTTTTTTGTTCTACTTGGATTAGTAGCTTTATACAAGAAAATTTGGTTATTTCTATGGTTTATAGTAACATAATAATCATAATTATAGTTGATGGCATATAATTAGACATTTGAATTTTAGAAATTCCATATAATCTTAGAACATACATTAGCATTATTCACAAAATATAACCTAAAGAAGATTGAACATCATTTTGGTGATCCCATGTACCTAAACATGTTAAATAATCTTGTTTACCTCTTTTCTGGATGTTTTCAGGGGCCATCTGATCCATCCAAAAAGCCAGGCATTAGAAAAGACAATTTTGAAACTGAAGTTTGATTTTGGAATTCCAGATTGCCCTAAATTACTTATTTTGCCAAAATGATGACTCAGAAATTTTAAGCAAAAACCCTTTATAACCTTTTACCAAAAAAAAAAAAAAAACACATTTTACTATTCTTACACATCTTGCATATAAAACTGTTTCTAGTAATCTTAATTACATGTTAATGGTGACTCCTAGCAATCTTAATTGTAATGTAAAACCTGCTAAGTTGTGTTCTGATAAGATTAGAATGTTTCCAGCATAGTTAGGGGCATGGCCAACTCCCCATGGAGAGGGGGTGGCAGGGACTCAGGGGGATCTTCAGGCAGGCAGAGGGGAGAAGAGGCAAGAGCACAGGGAATGCTGGGAGCCTCCCAAGAAGGCCTCTTTCATCTCAGAAGCCCCCAGGGCCATCCCGAGTGGGCTGTCCTCAGGCCTTACCTAGCTGGAAAGCAGGCAAGTTAAACAAATTTCAAACACCAAAGAAGCAGTTTATGACCTTAAAGCATTTAGCAAACCTAATATTTGAACATAACTTAGACCACATGTTTACATTTTCAAGACAACTGTATTTTACCAATAATCTTTAAAACTGTTTATTTCCTAAAGATTACTCAAGTCACATGAACTAAATAAAAAGCATTACATTTTTCACTTTTCTGACAAAATATTTGATTTAAGCTCTTATATTATTATTAAACCAATTTAAAACTTTACAGAAGGGACAAATGGTGACTTTTACCTTTCATTTAACCAGTTTGCACAGAGCGAAAGAGACCAGAGACTAACTGGTAAGAAATATTCTTTTGCAAGCATGTCTGGTTTCTGGGTTCTTTCTCCCTGAGTGGCCCTAGGGACCCTGCTCAACTGTATGCAGACAAACATATTGCCATGAATTAAGAATATTCACAAATAGTTTACAAATTTTGAAGAAATTAGGCAGAGAGAGAAATAGAACTCAAATTCTATTTATGAAAGTATATTCAACATGCTTAAACTGTCTAGAAGCCTAAAATCCAAAAAGTTAGTTAGAATTTGATAACTTCTGAATTATACAAAGTTATTCTTTTTCTCACTACTAACATAATCTTTTCCAGCACATTTTGCCTACTGAATTATGTGTTAACTAGAATTCTTATCCTTATAACCTAAAACTTAAGCGAAACCCTAAAAAGCAAGAATTCCTGGCCAGGCATGGTGGCTTATGCCTGTAATTCCAGCACTTTGAGAGGCCAAGACAGGTGGATCACTTGAGGTCAGGTGTTCAAGATGAGCCTGGCCAACATGGTGAAACCCCCGTCTACTAAAAATACAAAAATTAGCCCAGCATGGTGGCAGGCACCTGTAGTTCCAACTGCTTGGGAGGCTGAGGCATGAGTATTGCTTAAACCCAGGAGGCAGAGGTTGTGGTGAGCTGAGATCACACCATTGCACTCCAGCCTGGGCAATAAGAGTGAAACTCTGTCTCAAAAAAAAAAAGGAAAAGAGCCCTTCCGCCTTCTGCGCAGGGCAAATAGTCCCATTCATTCCTAGGCCTTCAGGCAATACCTGGGAGTGACTCCAGCCAATTGCCTTCAATTTTCAAGGAGCTGCTAGAAAGCAGTTGTTGAGAGGCTGAAAATGAAAGAAAGGAAAAAAAGAGAAGACCCAGGTCCCTTAAGCAAACTGGTTGGTGACGGTTAGGTGCCTTCACATGGACACCCTTAGTTTTCACTGGCCATAGCCAGAATTCTGCAGTTTTCTCTGTGTTTAGGCACTGCCCACCAAGGAGAGATTCCCCTGTATGAAACAGAAAGGAAAGGAGAGAAATAAATCCTAATCTTTGGGCCTAGCTTCTGCTGGAATTTCTCCTGGCTGGCTCAGCAAAATATGTTACCAGTGGAGGGTGTCCAGGTTCTCAGCATCTTGAACAAAGAATTCAACAAAATGCACAAAAAAGCAAAGAAATAATGAAGCAACAAAAGTAGATATTTATGGAAAATAAAAGTACACTCCACATTGTGGAAGTGGGCCTGAGCGTAGTGGCTCAAGGGCCTCGTTACAGAATTTGTGGGGGTTTAAATACTCTCTAGGGATTTTCACTGGTTGCCTGGTGTACACACTATGTAAATGAAAAGGGTGAAGTGAGGTTACAAAGTCATTTACCTGGAATATACCTTATGGAGAGGACATTTCCTGTCATAGCTGAAGTGTGAATTGGCCTTGTGTTCCCTGTCTCCAGACCCTATTTTTCTGTCTCAATTGGATCTTGAGTGTGGAACCATAATAAATGGGATTAGTGTCCTTGTTAAAGAGATTCAAGAGAGAGTGCTTGTCCCTTTTGTGACATGAGGATAGAAAGAGGACAGCTATCTATGAGTCAGGAAGCAGGGCCTCACTAGACACTAAATTTGTCTGCACTTGATCTTGAGCTTCTAGCCTCCAGATCTGTGAGCAATCCATGCCTGATATTTATAACTAACCAGTCTGCAGTCTTTTGTTATAGCAGCTGTCATGAACTAAGACAGCCTGTTAGAAGGAGGCTTAGACTTAACCAGTGTTTTGGGGGTATTTTAGGAGCCCTGATAGGTGATCTTCATGTCTGCTTTGCTTCTATGGGGTGGTATTGATGGGCTGAAGTGGATTGTCCCAGCTACTCTGGAAACATTTCTTTTTGTTGCCTCACAATGGATTTCCACTTATTTACAGAGAATTATATGGCTGTATCTTACTGTGCTTTATGTTGCTATAACAAAATAACTGTAACTGGCTGGTTCTTACACAATAGAGGTATATTTGGCTAATGGCTCCAGAGGCTGGAAATTCCAAGGCCATAGTGATCTCATTGGATGAGAGCCTTCCTGCTGTGGTGCTCCATGGTGCAAAGCAGGAGAGTAAGAGATCAGGAGCAAGAGAATAAATAAGCAAGGGAGATCAGTGGCAGAGACTCTCCCTGCTCTCATGGGCTCTGTCTATTCCCTCTCTACATAATGAGAGTAAAATCCAAAGAGCATGAGGACCAAATCAAATATGACAAAGACTCCTTAGAGGCGTGTCAGTACTGGTAACACCTGTTTTTCACAACTCACGGTGACTAAGGCACAGACCACCCCACACAGTGGCACGGATTCTCTTCTTGAACAGACTTTCCCCAGGCTCCTCTGAGTCTCTTTTGAAATAGGCCTCGCCTTGGTCTGTAAGGATCTGAACACACCCAAACATAATTTCTAACAGTTCAAGGCTACATCAATAGATAACCAAGCCCTGTTAAAGAGCCAGCCTGAGAAAACTCACGGCTTCCAAAAGAATTCAGTATTTGTTCCAGCAATGTCTGAAGAAATGCCTGTCTCCCAGTCTCACAGAGGGCAGGAGTCCAACTTCCCTTAGTTCCAGTTAGCAAACCCAGAGGGACTAATCACATGGCCCAAGCAGCCCCTTCCTACTTTTTGTAATTTTCCGCTTGGCTGATTCCACTCAGTCTCTGCTCAGCCTTTCCCTTCTCCCTCATTTTCCCTTTAAAATGCTGAGTCATCTTGCATAGATCATAGTTCAGTTCAGTTCACGCTGGACCTCTTCTCTACTGCGATGTTATGTTACTGATAAAACCTGTCCTCACCATGTTAATCAGTACCCAGCTTTCTTTGTCTTTGACTTTAGCAATAGCAGAATTTGTTTTTTTTCTGGCTCTTATGATTTAATAGCTACAGACAGGTGGGAATGAAGACCAGCCTATGTGACACTTATCTCTGGGTTCTAGTACTATTGAGCAGCAATTTAAGTATTAGGGATTTACAAATGTGTTTAATTTATGGCCAAACCCTGGCATAAGTCAAAATAAATGCTTATATTTGATCACTAAAATACGAGGTAATGATCCACCTCAGGGAGGAGAGTATGTGACTGCAATTAGAATCTTTAAAGCCTTCTGTTTAGAAAGCATGCTTGCTTGAACTTCAAGTTTCTAGGCAAATGTAAGGGTCATTTGTAAAAGCTGAGTTTTTCCTGTTGCCAATAAGGATAGAGACCTTTTCTTCTATGCTCATGTCTTAGACTATTTTCTTAAGAAAAAAATTGTATTTGTAAACTCTTCCTTAGTCCCTTTATTATGCATGTCAGTTTTTTGAAAAGCTGACTAAGCCTCTAGCCAGAATTGCAACCTGCCAGTGTTGTGTTAAGGGTAAGAGAGACAACTCTTTGGAAATGAAAATATCAAGAAAGATAACTTCCTATCTCCATGGGCCCCTTACTCCAAGCTACAACTGCCTGCTTGTCATAAAGAAATGTTATTTTTCCTTGGGATAAAGGTGACTGTCTAGCACAGAAGGATACCCCAATTACCAGGTGAATTTAGGATGGAGAATGTTATAAAAAGAATGTTTGAAAGAATGTTATAAAAAATGGTGGTGTTAGGCCTTATTACATGAAGACCAGTTATCATTTATCTCAAGAAGATGCATGTAAGGATTATATTTCTTGGCTATATAAAGGGGTGAGATTTCTTTCTGTCTTTGTAATCTCTTTAGCATGTTACCTGTGATGCACATTGCAGCCTGGTTTAATGCTTTTTAAATTTTATTTGTTTATTTATTTATTTTCGAGACAGAGTCTTGCTCTTTCTCCCAGGTTAGAGTGTAGTGGCACAATCTTGGCTCACTGCAACCTCCGCCTCCTGAGTTCAAGTGATTCACATGCCTTAGCCTCTCAAGATGCTGGGATTACAGGCAGGCACCACCCCACCCAGCTAATTTTTGTATTCTTAGTAGAGATGTGATTTCACCATGTTGGCCAGGCTGGTCTCGAACCCTTGTCCTCATGATCCGCCTGCCTCAGCCTCCCAAATTGCTGGGATTACAGGTGTGAGCCACTGCACCCAGCCCTAATGCTTTTTTAATAAGAAAATTATTTTCTTTATTTTCTACTTTATAGAGAGTTTTGTAGAATGGCAGGAGATTTCATTTTTAACATTATTCTCCAATATAAAGGAGAACAGACTTGACAGTTGTCCCAAATTAGGTAAAAGATTGAGATTGGAGATCCCCATAGGCCCATAATTTCTACCTTTGGTAACATAATGGAAGACATAGAACAACCCTCCCCTACACAGACTCCTCAGTGGGACAGCCCAATTACATCCACTGTCCTGAGCACATGGACCCCCTTTCTCTCTCAGTCTTACCCACATGACTCAGCGAGCAGCTCCAGCCCAGATCACAGAACCATATGAAGAATTGAAAACCCCACCTTCTCAAGAGGGCCAAGGGCAGAGCATTGACATATTTGATTAGTACCAAGGAGACATGAGAAAAATGAAAAGACTGCCATGACTGTATTTTGGTATTCCAGAGTTTCTGCCTTGCTGCTATCAAGAACATCACCCTCACCTTGGGTGCTTCTTGTTAGTAATTCTTCCTCCTTGACCTCACCCTGTTCTGTGGTTGTAAATCCCCACTTGTCTTGGTTGAAGGCAGAGTTGAGCTTGAAGGAAACCAAAATATTTCACTCTTGGGAAAGGAAGATAAATCTTAGGGCCCCAAAATCACTAAGCTAAAGAAAAAAGTCAAGCTGGGAACTGCTCAGCACAAACTTGCCCCCCATTCTATTCAAAGTCACCCGTCTGCTCACCGAGATAATTACATATTTGATTGCCTCCTTTGCAGAGGCTAACCAGAAACTCAAAAGAATGTAACCATTTGTCTCTTATCTATCTATGACCTGGAAGCCCCCTCCCCACTTCAAGTTGTCCCACCTTTCCGGACTGAACCAATGTTCATCATACATGTGTTGATTGATGTCTCATGTCTCCCTAAAATGTATGATACCAAGCTGTGCCCCGACCACGTTGGACACATATCCTCAGGACCTCCTGAGGGTGTGTCATGGTCATTTGTCCTCAATATTGGCAAAATAAACTCTCTATATTAACTGAGACCTCTCTCAGATTTTGGGGGTCCATACTCTAAAAGAAAGTATTTTGACAAATTTCAAGATGGCTATTCAGAAGGGCAGGAAATACAAGAACAGCTGAAAACTGTCTGTTATGAGAGAGGCTTGCACCTGTAGAGAAACTCTGCTTGGATGCAGCCAGGCTTTCTCTGAGGCTTTCCCTTTGACTTAGGAAAGATTAACTGACGGTCTGACATCTTTAAAGGTCTGAAGAAAACATTTTCCATCTCTTCTCTTAAGTGCTGCTATCTGTGAGGTTTCATTGACATAGTGTGCAAGAAGATTAAATTTTGGTACCCGAAACTCTTTTAGCCAAAGAGAAAATTCTAGCCAGGAACTGGGACACAAAAACCTGCCTCCCTCTTTTGGTTCCTAAATAAGATGGCTACAAGATGAAAGGCTACCCACCTCCCCCATATTTTGTCCACAAGGAAATTCCTGGTGAGCTGTTGAAACTTCACCATGGTGATACAAATCCATAGCTTATCTTTACAGTTGCGGTCACCCCACAGACACAAATGCATTTCCGATTGTTCACCTACCCCATTTTGTCTGTGTTATCTTATGTAAAATGCAGAGTCCCCATATTTTTCCTCTGCCCCCTGTTGTTGATGTGAGAACTGTGTGCTTCTCAATATCCCGCCCTTTCCCCTTTAAATTTGGAGCCCTCAAAATCAGAGAAAGGCATAGACCTGTCTCCTGGGTGCATCCTCAACTTTGGCAAATAAATCTCCTAAAATTACTGAGACCTGTCTCATCATTCTTTGGTTGACAATAACAAGACCTCTGCTAGCCAGGCCTCCTCTTTTCTCCCTCCCATAACCCATGTTGCCACTACAATCTGTTTTGCCAAGATTTAAGTCCCTCTCTCATTTTTTTTTTATAAACTTAGATGGTTTACACGTTGCTCTGTGGTTCTCCCCTACACATGGTCATAAGTTTGTGTGCCTTTTCTCTTTCTAATCTGCCTTTTGTTAGGTGAATTTTTAGTGAACTTAAGAAGGTAGAGAAAATTTTTTCCCTTGGCCCCCACCAGCATGATCGCTCTCCCACAGAAAGACCCAAATTAAGTGGCCCTACATCTAACGCCATGGCCCCCCTTGAGTGAAGTATTTCTCACTGTGTTTTAGGAAATGTCATAAATAAGTTTTTTTTAACACCCTGTCGGACCATAAAGGATTGATCTACTGGTAGACACTTATTCTCAATCAGAGCTTTTCCCAAGGGAATTTGTCATGTGGAAAAAAGCCATTTGTCAAGGAATGGCCAGGCATTGTGGCTCATGCCTGTAATCCCAGCACTTTGGGAGGCTGAGGTGGGCGAATCACCTGAGGTTGGGAGTTTGAGACCAGCCTGACCAACGTGAAGAAACCCTGTCTCTACTAAAAATACAAAATTAGCCGGGCATGGTGGTGCATGCCTCCTATCCCACCTACTCGGGAGGCTGAGGCAGGAGAATCACTTGAACCCGGGAGGCAGAGGTTGCAGTGAGCCAAGATCATGCCATTGCACTCTAGCCTGGGCAATAAGAGCAAAACTCCATCTCAAAAAAAAAAAAGTCAAGGAATATGGGAGTCACGGGGGCTCGGATGTATTACTAGGGGGGCTCTAGAGAGATGGAGGGGCACAGGTTGCTGGGGCTAAGATATCCTGAGCTGCACTGGTTTCTGAGCTATTCAAATCCCAGTTGTTTCACCCTTTATTTTTGGAATCACCCAGGATCCTTTTAGCAACCACCTTTCACTTGCATTTAAGCCTGTTTTTACGGTTGCAAACACACAAAACACACTTAAATAAGATGATGTAACAGTAGTTCTCAAATCATAGCAACAACTCTAGTAGTTGTGTCCTAGGAAATTAAAATTCTGTGTTACCTACTTGCTATGGTTTGATGTGTTCTCCAAAGTCCATGTGTTGGAAACTTAATCCTCAATGCAATAGTGTTGAGATGTGGGACCTTTAAGTGATAATTAGATCATGAGGGATTTGCCTCATTCATTAATTATTGCTATTATCTCAGGTGAGTTAGTTATCGGAGATTGAAATCCTGATAAAAAGTTGAGTTTGTTCTCTCTGTCTCTCTCTCTCTCTCTCCACTCTAGAATTGTAAAAAACTAATCTCTATTCTGCATAAATTACCCAGTCTCAGGTATTCCATTATATTAGCAGGAAATGGACTAAGACACTACTTTATAAAATTTTGCAGTTTCCAATGTTCAGCTTTTCCTTGATCCGGCTTCATCTACATTTTTCTTTGCTTGTTACTGATGGTGAAATTTTCCTGTTGTCTTTCATTTATGGCTTACACTATCACATGCTCTGTACTAATTCATGCCTTCTATTTCCTTCTGTTGTTTTTGGAAGCATCTCTTTTCATGTGTCTCATTTTTAGGCTCTATAAGACATATCGTAAAACTCACTTGATTCCTCACTGTCATGCATAGAGCTCTGTCTGGGGGAAGTTCTCCCTCCTGACATGCTACGCCATTACCCAGCCAAAGGAGCACTGCCTTTGCTTTATTTGCACATTCCTGTTTTAAACAGTCATGCCCAGAATTATGTGGCTACTTGGCGCACATAATGAAAAATCTGGTTTTTGAAGTCATGCATAAAATTAAAATATCTTTGTATTTGGTTGTCTCACATCCACTGTGGTCTCTGTTTCAGCACCTCATTGGGATTATTGAACTCATTAAATTCTTTACATGAACTTGAATTGTTCATTGAAATCTCTAGCCATTTCCCTGGTTAAACAGGATAATCTTTTTTTTTCACTAAAGAACATTCGTGGTGGTTTAGTGATGAGGTTAATATTCCCCTCTTGTCCACCTCCACATTGGAAAAACCACGTTGGACTGAGTTTTGAGGAGCAAAGAACTAATCACTTGACCAAAGGGGCCCTGTATCCCCACAAGCCCTGGGTATTTTTCTCTCATAGAGAGAAGAGGGTCTGTATGGATACCTGAAAATGTGATTTTATATATTCTTGGCATCCAGGGGAGAAAAATCAAAAAGCAAGGAAGCTACAGTTATCTCCCCAGAAATTAATGGGTCATGTCAAGACTATAGGTTTTCATTTCCTTCTGTTGCTTGTTAGAATGATGTTCTTGTGGGAAACTGGAGTTCCACAATTCCCATTTCTTCTTGACTCCCTACCCTAGCTAAGTACTTTATTCTTAAGAGACTGGCACCAAGTCACTGTGTCCTATTATGGAAATGCAAGGTTTGTCTTTTGAATGGATTTCTGAAGACAATGGGTAAAACATTAAAGTTGATTTAATTGCTTGCCTGTCTGGGCAAGGAGTTTGGTTTTTGCTGAACATTCCCCTTAGTAAAATGGCAGGATGGTTTGCTTGCCATTGAAACTAACCAAACATTTAATCCTTTTCCCTTTAGAGAAAAAAGAAAAAAAAAGGTGCAGCTCACTGCCAGTGCCCATTTAGTTTTACATTAACATGTTCCTTGAGGTTGAAGCAAATCTGACCGATTTTCAATGTAAAAATAACATATAAAAACTGTTCTCGGAGTTATTTCTAAACAGAACTAAGATCAGAATTCTTTGAATCATCAGAATCATCTCTTTTGAAAAATCGATTCATCAAATGAATCTTCAGCCAACAACTGTTCAAGAAGGATGCAAATATCACAGGTAAGAATCCTACATTTTCTAAGATGTGACATTGTCAGTGAGCTGAAAATATGATTACTATATTTTGTAAATGGAAATACCATTACAAAAACAGAAAGCTATAAAAGGAATGATGTCTTTTGTTTCCAAAGTCAACATACTAGAGTGATTCAAAAATAATAATAAGTCAGGTGCGGTGGCTCATGCCTTTAATCCTAACATTTTGGGCGGCTGATGCGGGTGGATCACTTGAGGTTGGGAGTTCGAGACCAGCCTGGCCAACCTCGTCTGGCCAGTGAATGGTGGTGAAACCTCGTCTCTACTGAAAATACAAAAATTAGCCAGGTATGGTGGCATGTGCCTGTAGTCCCCGCTACTCGGGAGGCTGAGGCAGGTAGAATCACTTGAACCTGGGAGGCGGACGTTGCAGTGAACTGATATTGCACCACTGCACTCCAGCCTGGTCAACAGAGCAAGAATCTGTCTCAAATAATAATAACCATAATCATAATCATAAAAGCGAGATAGTTTGTGGCAAAGTTTTCTCAGGGTAAACTGCCACCACGAGTGCCACTGGTGAGAATTCTTGGGTCAAATGAAAAAAGGGTTAAATGCAAGGCAGGTCATCAGCAAAGTACAGTACCTGTTCGTGAGTTGATTTTCTCTCCAGTCCGACATATTCCTCAATATGATTTTTAAATAGAATAGGGATCTCACTGGAGGACATGCAAGTAATTTAAATTTGTTCATACATATAGGCAGGGCCCAGAGAGATTAAGAGCACATGTGGTTTAAATGCTGTTATCTCTGCTTTGTGAATAGCATGGTAAGTTGAAAATATTTGCCATTGAAGCAAGGGACTATTTGCCTCAAGGTTAAATAAGACAAGAAGAGCTTCAGATGCCTGGTCTGCAGTGATGAGTAGAACAGGCCCTTCTGCTGTTGGGTGCAGACATTTCTCCTCCACCTTCTTTAAGGCATTAACACTCACTAGACGTGTTCATGTAAAGGTGTCTCGATAGTGTTAACTCCAGTCTCCTTGTGAGTCTTGCTGACTTACCATGACTAGAGGACTTGGATGGCATGCTAGACCTTCCAGTAGCCAGCCTGGATCATTGTACTTGTTCTGAGTTGCACAGGTGTTTTACTTTTGTGCCAGGTGGTTGGAAATAGGCACATAAAATGGAGCTATTTGTTTTAAAATCATTTCATTTATTGATGCTCTTGTCCAGTGTGTCTGAGGGTGGTATCTGCCTTCCCAGGAGGCAGGAGTGGGGCCCCCAACTGAGGAGCTCATGGTGCACTCTTAGCTTTTAAGACTTGTCATACAGGGTGCAATAAAACAAAATGTGCCACTCAAAATGTACTTTTTTGGTATATTTTGATCTTGCTGTTAAGAGGGGCTACAATTCAGAGAGGCTGCAGACACAGAAATAGCCCTGAAAAGCTTTCTTCTCTGGCAGAGATTTGCAAGTGCTGAGGAAATACACGTTAGTGAAGTGAACAGAGGAGAAAAGCATTTCTCTGAGGCACACCCCACCCCCACCTTATCTGCCTAATTGGATCAAGGAAAGATTAACTCCCAGGAAAAACAGACTGAGATCCTAATGCTTTAAAGGTCTGACTGAGAAACTTCTCCATAGGCCACTGTCTATCTTCCTGAGGGCAGCTTGGGGAGCCCCTGAGAGACTCACATCTGTGTGGGGACAGCCTTGGCTCACCAAGCATACCTCTCTCTCTCCCCCATTACCTGAGACCCCACCTCCCCGAGAGACCCCAAGCCCCTATTCTCTCTGTAGCCTCAGGATGTGAGGAAATCTTCAATCATCTGGTCCTGCTTGGAGTCTCATATTTGCTGCTCCATGTACATGTATATGAATTTATATGCATTTTATGTTAATTATTCCATTGTCAGTGTATCTTATGTAATCAAGTCACCAAAACTTCAGAAGGGCGAGGAAAGAAAATTTTCTTTGCACCTGCAGGGGTATCTGCATGGTATGCAAAGCAGAAAAGTTAAAGCGAAATAATGAATCAGAGTCAGGGAATGAGCAAACATGACCTGGACAATGGCAATGAAGGAATTGTGCACGGCCTCTATACTGGTATTTACATAACTGAGGTCCATCAGTGCCAAGATCTTTGTCTTTTTTCTTTCCTTCCCTCTCACTGCCCATGTCCGGACATAGGCCGGTAAGAGCGTCTGGTTAAGATGTGGAGTAAGAACATCTTAAGATGTGGAGATGGGAAACACTGTATGGGAATGTGAATGAGTGTGTGAAAATGTTAAAAATCGTGTTGAGAAAAAAATCTTTCCTTGTGCAAGTATACTTACTTGCATAATTATCACCTTTAGTTTTGTAATTATAAGATTTCTCAGAGCCTGGCTGGGTGCGGTAGCTAATGTCTGTAATCCCAGCATGTTGGAAGGCTAAGGCAAGTGGATTGCTTGAGGCCAGGAGTTCATGACCAGCCTGGCCAACATGGTGAAACCCCATGTTTAATAAAAATACAAAAATTAGCTGGGCATGGTGGCATGCACCTCTAGTCCCAGCTACTCATGAGGCTGAGGCAGAAGAATTGTTTGAACCCAGGAGGTGCAGGTTGCAGTAAGCTGAGATTGTACCACTGCACCACTCCAGCCTGGGTGACAGACTGAGACTCCGTCTCAAACAAACAAACAAACAAACAAACAAAGATTTCACAGAGCCTGCCATTGAATGTGTAGTGTTTAGGAAGGATGGAAGGATCTTAAGGAAGCCACTATCTGTGTCTCACTTTCTTCGTAGTGTTAGATGAACTTTCTGGTTGACACCTGACAGGAAGAGCCTCTGTATTGGACCACCATGTTTGTGCTCACTGTGTAGTAACAAACCAACACACCAAAATAGCGGGAGTTGCCACTGACAAAGAGTTGAATGATCAAATGACGGCCAAAGGAGGAGGTAGGACGCAACCTCAAATTCACTGCCCCAAGGAGTTTTAGAATGGGGTTTTCAAGGGACTTTTGGCAGATAGAGGGCTGAGGAGTGGGGGGGTTACTGATTAGTTAGGGTGTGGGGGATGAAAACATAAAGATATAGTAAGTGCATTCTAGGATCAAATCAGTTCCTTAAAGTGGGTATTTACACAGGATGGTATCAGTGGATCTGTTGGAATGCAGGATCTGGAAAATATGGAAAATTTGAAACTTCTTCACATTACAGAAGTTATCTATAGAAGTTAGGGCCTTGTAATACAGGCTATAAGCTATAAGCAGCTATAAGAAAGTGGCCTGTGGGGCATAGCTGGTTAATGTTTAACTACCCTTCAACTCAAAAGCTTTGATTTTGCTAAAAACCTAGACATTCATTCAGTTTTATTGATTTTATAAGGATGGTGTCACCTTCATTAAACACATTTGTTCTGAGGGACAGTTGGGCCGCAGTGGCCATTGACTTATGTGGCCAAAATGCTTGCATTGACCAAAAACTTGCTTTCACATGAATAAAAATATTCCTCCAAAATAAGCACTTGTTTTGAGAGTCTCTGAAAAACAATCATTGTATATAAGAAATATATTTTGTGGTTAATGACATAATTTTACTTTACTCAGGGAAGGCTGTTTCTCTCAGTACATCGTTCAACTTTGGCACCAGCCAACATTCTCAGGACTCCCATAAAGCCAACCAACTAAGCAAAATCCTGAATATTGTTCACTAATCCTGATTCTGCCTCCTTTCTAGGTGTGAATTCAAAGGCAGCATTACTCCCCATTTTCTTCCCTCTCCTGTGTCTCTCCCCTGAGGCTTCTCTGCAAAACATCACTGCCCAGCTTAGCATCTGTCCTGGGCACTGGTAATAATGTGGTACCATTCATCCTCTCCTAGCATTTGATCACTCATCAGGAGCCCTCAGCCCCATGGGGAAGAGGACAGAAGAAGAAACCAGTGAGCTCCTGATTTCTTGCTTCTTTCTGTCAGTGTTTTTTCTAATATCTCCAAGTTGCAAGAGAGAAGTAGAAGCTACATGGCATTCACCCTAAACCTACTTGCATGATGCATTCTGTTTGTCTTAGAAGGATCATTGTACTTTATCATAAGAGGAAAAAACATTCTCCATTCTAGCAATTCTCTGGATGATTCTGCCTTAAATAGAGGGAGTTTTACTGTCTAGATTGAGCTTCTGCTCCTTGGTCCACTCCTCTTGAAACTTTACTGAGGTTGTTTATTAAATCTAGGAGTCTTTTTGAGGAACCTTTAGGGTTTTCTAGGTATATAATCCTGTCATCAGCAAACAAAAATAATCTGACTTTTATTTTTGCTACTTAAATGCCTTTTATTTATTTTCTTTACCTGATTGCCATGAATAGTACTTCCAATTTTGTGTTGAATAGGAGTGGTGGAGTGGACATCCTTGTCTTGTTCCAGTTCTTAGGGGAAAGGTTTTCAAGTTTTCTCCATGCAATATGACATTGGCTGTTAATTTGTCCTAGATGTCCCTTATTATTTTGAGTCATGTTCCCTTGATGTCTAGTTTACTGAGAGTTTTTATCATAAAGGTTTTATGTTGCATTTTATCAAAACTCGGCATCTGTTGGGATGATCATTTTTTTTTTGCTTTTAAGTATGTTTATATGGTGAATCGTGGTGTAATCATGTTCAGTGATTTGTGTATGTTTAATCATCCTTGCATCCCTGGAATGAAATCCATTTGGTCATGACGAATTATCTTTTTGATGTGCTATTGGATTTAGTTTGCTAGTATTTTGTTAAGAATATTTGTGACCATGTTTTCCAAGGATATGTTCCTCTAGTTTTATTTTTCTGTTCTGTTTTTGCCTGATTTTGGTATCAGGATGATACTAGTTTAGTAGAACAATTAGGGAGGAATGTCTCCACATTTTTTTAAAAGAGATTCCATAAAATTGGTACCAGCTCTTCTTTCCATGTGTGGCAGAATTGAGTTGTGAATCTCTCTGGTCCCACGCTATTTTTCACTAGAAAATTTTTAATTACTGATTTGATTTAATTACAGAGTATTTTTCATTACTCATTATGGGTCTGCTCTGGATTTCTATTTCTTCCTGATTCAATGTTGGGAGGTTGTGTGTTTCCAGGAATTTATCTATTTTCTCTATTTTTTTTTATTATTATACACTTTAAGTTTTAGGGTACATGTGCACAACGTGCAGGTTTGTTACATATGTATACATGTGCCATGTTGGTGTGCTGCACCCATTAACTTGTCATTTAGCATTAGATATATCTCCTAATGCTATCCCTCCCGACTCCCCCCACCCCACAACAGTCCCCCAGAGTGTGATGTTCCCCTTCCTGTGTCCATGTGTTCTCATTGTTCAATTCCCACCTATGAGTGAGAACATGCGGTGTTTGGTTTTTTGTCCTTGTGATAGTTGGCTGAGAATGATGGTTTCCAGTTTCATCCATGTCCCTAAAAAGGGCATGAACTCATCATTTTTTATGGCTGCATAGTATTCCATGGTGTATAGGTGCCACATTTTCTTAATCCAGTCTATCGTTGTTGGACATTTGGGTTGGTTCCAAGTCTTTGCTATTGTGAATAGTGCCGCTATAAACATACGTGTGCATGTGTCTTTATAGCAGCATGATTTATAATCCTTTGGGTATATACCCAGTAATGGGATGGCTGGGTCAAATGGTATTTCTAGTTCTAGATCCCTGAGCAATCGCCACACTGACTTCCACAATGGTTGAACTAGTTTACAGTCCCACCAACAGTGTAAAAGTGTTCCTATTTCTCCACATCCTCTCCAGCACCTGTTGTTTCCTGACTGTTTAATGATCACCATTCAAACTGGTGTGAGATGGTATCTCATTGTGGTTTTGATTTGTATTTCTCTGATGGCCAGTGATGATGAGCATTTTTTCATGTATTTTTTGGGTGCATAAATGTCTTCTTTTGAGAAGTGTCTGTTCATATACTTTGCCCACTTTTTGATGGGGTTGTTTGTTTTTTCCCTGTAAATTTGTTTGAGTTCATTGTAGATTCTGGATATTAGCCCTTTGTCAGATAAGTAGGCTGCAAAAATTTTCTCCCATTCTGTAGGTTGCCTGTTCACTCTGATGGTAATTTCTTTTGCTATCAGAAGCTCTTTAGTTTAATTAGGTCCCATTTGTCAATTTTGGCTTCTGTTGCCATTGCTTTTGGTGTTTTAGACATGAAGTCCTTGCCCAAGCCTATGTCCTGAATGGTATTGCCTAGGTTTTCTTCTAGGGTTTTTATGGCTTTAGGTCTACATGTAAGTCTTTAATCCATCTTGAATTGATTTTTGTATAAGGTGTAAGGAATGGATCCAGTTTCAGCTTTCTACATGTGGCTAGCCAGTTTTCCCAGCACCATTTATTAAATAGGGAATCCTTTCCCCATTGCTTGTTTTTCTCAGGTTTGTCAAAGATCAGATAGTTGTAGATATGCGGCATTATTTCTGAGGGCTCTGTTCTGTTCCATTGGTCTATATCTCTGTTTTGGTACCAGTACCATACTGTTTTGGTTACTGTAGCCTTGTAGTATAGTTTGAAGTCAGGTAGCATGATGCCTCCGGCTTTGTTCTTTTGGCTTAGGATTGACTTGGTGAGGCGGGCTCTTTTTGGGTTCCATATGAACTTTAAAGTAGTTTTTTCCAATTCTGTGAAGAAAGTAATTGGTAGCTTGATGGGGATGGCATTGAATCTATAAATTACCTTGGGCAGTATGGCCATTTTCATGATATTGATTCTTCCTACCCATGAGCATGGAATATTCTTCCATTTCTTTGTATCCTCTTTTATTTCATTGAGTAGTGGTTTGTAGTTCTCCTTGAAGAGGTCCTTCACATCCCTTGTAAGTTGGATTCCTAGGTATTTTATTCTCTTTGAAGCAATTATGAATAGGAGTTCATTCATGATTTGGCTCTCTGTTTGTCTTTTATTGGTGTATAAGAATGCTTGTGATTTTTGCACATTGATTTTGTATCCTGAGACTTTGCTGAAGTTGCTTATCAGCTTGAGGAGATTTTGGGCTGAGACAATGGGGTTTTCTAGATACACAATCATGTCATCTGCAAACAGGGACAATTTGACTTCTTCTTTTCCTAATTGAATACCCTTTATTTCCTTCTCCTGCCTGATTGCCCTGGCCAGAACTTCCAACACTGTTGAATAGGAGTGGTGAGAGAAGGCATCCCTGTCTTGTGCCAGTTTTCAAAGGGAATGCTTCCAGTTTTTGCCCATTCAGTATGATATTAGCTGTGGGTTTGTCATAGATAGCTCTTATTATTTTGAGATATGTGCCATCAATACCTAATTTATTGAGAGTTTTTAGCATGAAGCGTTGTTGAATTTTGTCAAAGGCCTTTTCTGCATCTATTGAGATAATCATGTGGTTTTTGTCTTTGGTTCTGTTTATATGCTGGATTACATTTATTGATTTGCATATGTTGAACCAACCTTGCATCCCAGGGATGAAGCCCACTTGATTATGGTGGATAAGCTTTTTGATGTGCTGCTGGATTCGGTTTGCCAGTATTTTATTGAGGATTTTTGCATCGATTTCATCAGGGACATTGGTCTAAAATTCTCTTTTTTTGTTGTGTCTCTGCCAGGCTTTGGTATCAGGATGACGCTGGCCTCATTAAATGAGTTAGGGAGGATTCCCTCTTTTTCTATTGATTGGAATAGTTTCAGAAGGAACGGTACCAGCTCTTCTTTGTACCTGTGGTAGAATTCAGCTGTGAATCCATCTGGTCCTGGACTTTTTTTGGTTGGTAAGCTATTGATTATTGCCTCAACTTCAGAGCCTGTTATTGGTCTATTCAGAGATTCAACTTCTTCCTGGTTTAGTCTTGGGAGGATGTATGTGTCAAGGAGTTTATCCATTTCTTCTAGATTTTCTAGTTTATTTGCATAGAGGTGTTTACAGTATTCTCTGATGGTAGTTTGTATTTCTGAGGGATCGGTGGTGATATCCCCTTTATCATTTTTTATTGCGTCTATTTGATTCTTCTCTCTTTTCTTTTTTATTAGTCTTGCTAGCAGTCTATCAATTTTGTTGATCTTTTCAAAAAACCAGCTCCTGGTTTCATTAATTTTTTGAAGGGTTTTTTGTGTCTCTATTTCCTTCAGTTCTGCTCTGATCTTAGTTATTTCTTGCCTTCTGCTAGCTTTTGAATATGTTTGCTCTTGCTTTTCTAGCTCTTTTAATTGTGATGTTAGGGTGTCAGTTTTACATCTTTCCTGCTTTGTCTTGTGGGCATTTAGTGCTATAAATTTCCCTCTACACATTGCTTTGAATGTGTCCCAGAGATTCTGGTATGTTGTGTCTTTGTTCTCATTGGTTTCAAAGAACATCTTTATTTCTGCCTTCATTTTGTTATGTACCCAGTAGTCATTCAGGAGCAGGTTGTTCAGTTTCCATGTAGTTGAGCAGTTTTGAGTGAGTTTCTTAATCCTGAGTTCTAGTTTGATTGCACTGTGATCTGAGAGACAGTTTGTTATAATTTCTGTTCTTTTACATTTGCTGAGGAGAGCTTTACTTCTAACTATGTGGTCAATTTTGGAGTAGGTGTGGTGTGGTGCTGAAAAGAATGTATGTTCTATTGATTTGGGGTGGAGAGCTCTGTAGGTGTCTATTAGGTCCGCTTGGTGCAGAGCTGAGTTCAATTCCTGGGTATCCTTGTTAACTTTCTGTCTCGTTGATCTGTCTAATGTTGACAGTGGGGTGTTAAAGTCTCCCACTATTATTGTGTGGGAATCTAAGTCTCTTTGTAGGTCACTAAGGACTTGCTTTATGAATCTGGGTGCTCCTGTATTGGATGCATATATATTTAGGATAGTTAGCTCTTCTTGTTGAATTGATCCTTTTACCATTATGTAGTGGCCTTCTTTGTCTCTTTTGATCTTTGTTGGTTTAAAGTCTGTTTTATCTGAGACTAGGATTGCAACCCCTGCCTTTTTTTGTTTTCCATTTGCTTGATAGATCTTCCTCCATCCCTTTATTTTGAGCCTATGTGTGTCTCTGCATGTGAGATGGGTTTCCAGCACACTGATGGGTCTTGACTCTTTATCCAATTTGCCAGTCTGTCTTTTAATTGGAGCATTTAGACCATTTACATTTAAAGTTAGTATTGTTATGTGTGAATTTGATCCTGTCATTATGATGTTAGCTGGTTATTTTGCTCGATAGTTGATGCAGTTTCTTCCTAGCCTCGCTGGTCTTTACAATTTGGCATGTTTTTGCAGTGGCTGGTACCGTTTGTTCCTTTCCATGTTTAGTGCTTCCTTCAGGAGCTCCTTTAGGGCAGGCCTGGTGGTGACAAAGTCTCTATATTTTCTAGTTTGTGCACATAGAAATGTTTACAGGAGTCACTGATACTCTCTTGTATTTCTCTGATATCAGTTTTAATGTCACCTTTATCATTTCTTTCTTTTTTTTTTTTTTTTGAGGCTCGCTCTGTTGCCCAGGCTGGAGGGCAGTGGGGCAATCTCAGCTCACTGAAACCTTGACCTCCCAGGTTCAAGCGATTCTTCTGCCTCAGCCTTCCAAGTAGCTGAGATTACAGGCACACACCACCATGCCTGGCTACTGTTTTTTGTATTTTTAGTAGAGGCGGGGTTTCACCATGTTGGCCAGGCT
This sequence comes from Homo sapiens, assembly GCF_000001405.40. Classification (NCBI taxonomy): domain Eukaryota; kingdom Metazoa; phylum Chordata; class Mammalia; order Primates; family Hominidae; genus Homo; species Homo sapiens. Next base: position 5,087,590 of record NC_000010.11, read on the forward strand.
AGTCTCGAACTCTTGACCTCAAGTGACCCTGCCTCAGCCTCCCTAAGTGCTGGGATTACAGACGTAAGCCACTTTGTCCAGCCTCACCTTTATCTTTTCTGTATTGTATTTTTTTGAATATTCTTTTTTTTTCTTTGTTAGCTAGCTGACTATCAATTTTGTTTATCCTTTCAAAGAACCAAATTTTTGTCTCATTGATCCTTTATACCTATTTTTTTTCTTGTCTCAATTTCATTTAGTTATGGTGTGACCATTCTTATTTCTTTTCTTCTGCTAACTTTGGGCTTGGTTTGCTCTTATTTTTCTAGTTCCTTAGAAGTGACTTTAGGTGGTGAGTTTGAGGTCTTTCTATCTTTTCAGGGAGGGTTTAACACTATAAATTTATCTCTTAGCACTGCTTTCCCATATCCGAGAGATTTTGGCATGTTGTATGTCTATTTTCATTCATTTCAAAAAATCTGTTGAATTCTGAATTTCATTCTTTACCCAAAAGTTGTTCAGGGACACATTGTTTAATTTTTCATGCACTTGTATAGCTTTGAGAGTTCCTCTTGATATTGATTTCTAGTTTTATTCAACTGCAGTCTGAAAAAATACTTGATATGATTTTGAGTTTTTAATTTTATTGAGACTTGCTTTATAACCAAGGATGTGGTCAATTTTTGAGAATGGTTCATGTGCAGGTGAGAAAAATGTGTATTCTGTAGTTGTTAGGTAGAATGTTCTGTAAATGATTATGATGTCCATTTGGTTCATATTCCAGCTTAAGTCCAGAGAGTTTTTTTTTTGGCTGATTTTCTGTCTCAATGATCTGCAACATTTATAAGTGGGGTGTTGATGTCATTTACTATTATTGTACTTCTCCCAGTCTGTTTTCTTAGGTGTAGTAGTATTTCTTTTATGAATCTGGGTGCTCCAATATTGAATACATTTATATTTAGGATGGTTAAATCTTCTTGCTGTATGGAATCTTTATAATATAATGCTCTTCTCTGTCTTTTTAAAATATCATTGGTATAAAAGTCTGTTTTATCTAGTATAAGAATGGCTAGTCCTGCTTGCTGACATTGATATATCATGTAAATGAAAACAAATCTGTAGGTGTCATTAGACCTAATGGTAGATCTCCTGTAGATAAAAGCTGTTGGGTCTTGTCCTTTTATCAAATTTTCTGTTCTATTTCTTTTAAGTGGAGGATTTAGGTAATTTATGCTCAAGGTTAACCTAGATATATGAGCTTTTGTTTCTGTCATGGTCTTGTTAGCCAATTGCTTTAGAGACTCAATTGTGCAATTACTGTATAGTAATTATGACCTGTGTACTTCATGTCCTTTTATGATGGTATCATAATATTTTTATATTTAAGATTCCTCTGAGCATTTCCTGAAGGGCTAGTCTAGTGGTGACAAATTCCCTTAAAATTTGCTTGTCTGTGAAAGATGATTTCTCCATTTTTTTCTATAAAAAGGCTAAAAATAGGCCCCCAATATCTTCCGACTTTTAGGTTTTCTGCTGTTAAATCTGTTTAGTATAATAGGATTTTCTTTAGAGGTGATTTGTAGCTTCTCTGTAGCTGCTTTTAAAATTTGTTCATTCTTATTGACCTTGGGTGGTCTGGTGACTGTATGCCTTGTCGATGTACATTTAGCATAGTATCTTTCAGGTATTCTCTGAATTTTTTGAATCTCATTTCTAAATGTCTATCAGGATAAAGAAAATATTTCTGCATTATTTCTTCTACTATGTTTTTCAAACTTCTTACTTCTCTTCATCTTCCTTAGAAATGCTTATTAGTTGTAGATTTGATGGCTTTATATAATCCCATATTTCTCAAAGCCTTTGTTCATTTATAACAATTATTTTCTTTTTTAAATTTCTGACTGGATTAATTTGAAAGACTAGTCTTCAAGATATGAAATGCTTTCTTCTGCTGGTTTAGTCTACTCTCAAAGATTTAAACTGTATTTTAAAATTCCTTCAGTGAATTTTTTTGTTTTCAAATTTTTGGTTTTTTCCCAAAATAAGTATATCTTTTTTTCTTTCCTTGATTGCTTTTGTAGTTTCTTTGTGTTTGTTTTTGACCTTCTCTGGATCTTATTGAGCTTTCTTATAATCCATACTTTGAATTCTATACCTGACGTTTCTCAATTTTATTTTGATTAGAGTCCATTGCTGGAGACTTAGTGTAATTTTTTGACAGTACCACAACATTCAGATTTTTTATGGTGCAAGAATTCTTGTACTGGATTTTTTTCTCATTTGGAGAAGCCGAGAGTTCTTGGTTTGAATTTACATTCATTCCGATGGAATTCTTTTCTCTATTTTTGCTTTATACCTCTGCCCTTGAGGGTGTGATTGTAGAGTGTCATGAGTAGTGTATTTTGGCTTTGCTTCAATAGCCCTATGGCACTTGTGTTGGTAGGTTTTTACATTGAGTTGCGCAGTTCAATTCACAGGCCAGTAGAGGGTACTTATGAGTAAGAGCCAGCTGTGCCAAAGCAGATGGGTATATACTCGATCTTTGTTTACTGTGTGAGGCTTTCTGTTGTTTCAAGTGATGGGATGGACCGTGGAATGATCAGTGCCCTGAGCTTCCTATTCAGTGTGTGACAGAGATATATCTGGGTAGAGCTGGAGTAGCTTAATTACCTGCAAATACCCCAGTGATGAGCACAGGCACCAGCCCAAAGAGAGGTTACCAGAGAAACTTCTGTTGTAAAGCATGAAGTTCTCTGTGGGGGTTAGGAAACTGCACTGATCCACAACCTGGGTAGTCAGTAACACAATCTGTTTCCCTAATACATCCCTGTCTTGGGCCTTGTGACTCTCAGTTCAGATGCACACTGCTGTCTATCTCCAGGCCACAGTGTAGCTGAGAGCCATAAAATAAAAAACTACTGTCCCATAGCTCTCTAAGGAAGTGATAATTGGGGTAGAACCTCTTCACCCAGTTCAATATAGACAGCTTTGTGGCTCTCATGTAGTGTGAGGTGGTAATGCTGCTTCTTCATGGAGATAGAAGGAGAGGCTCCACCTTTCAGCACTTCTGTGTTGGTATCAGCTATATTGGTGTCATCTGGTTGGGTCAGCCCAGTCTCAGGACCCCAGGGAAGTGATCACATGCCAGCATTGTTATACTGTGTTGGGCAATTTTCCAATTTCAAATTTCACATTTCCCAGGCCCCTACATGGTAATGGAATGGCATGTATGAGGAAAGAAGACTGATGAGTGGTGATGAAATTACAAGACAAAGTGAGACTGTTCTGTCCTAGAAGTCAGATGAAGAAATTGTTTTAAGAAAAGAGTCAAATGCTATTAATAGGACAAGTAAGATGGAGTCTCAACATTGACCATTGGCATTGACTATTGACCTTTACAAAGTCAAGAATGTTTTGATAGCATGATGGAGGCAAGAGTCAGAATAGTGTGCATTCAATAAAGTGTAGGATGAGAGTAATTAGATACAGAGTGTAGAACATGTTCAAATAATGGCCTGTAAAGGGGACCAGACGATTGAGCAACCACCGAAGAAGAAAACGGAGTAAAATGAGGGTTATTTTTGTGATGACAGTAAAAACAGCATGCCTGTGTGCTCTTAGGGAGAACTTAGCAGAGAGAAAAAAAACTGATGATGCAGGAAAGAGAGAATGAGAATTGCTGAAATTACGTCCAAATTAGTTTTCTGTTCCTGCTGTAACAAATTACCACAAACGTTATGGCTTGAAACACCACAAATTAATTTTCTCGAAGTTCTGGAGACTAGAATTCCAAAGTCTGGTTCAATGGGCTAATGTCAATGTGGCCACAGGCCTAAACATGTATTTTTCAGAACATATCTCTAATGTTAGGTAATACATGACTGCAATTACTTTGTCATTTTTTATTTATGTCTTTAGCTTTTTGTCCTTCATATCCTCATATCCTTAATTAACAATGTTTTTTGTGTATGATTTTTAATAATATTTGTATTCCTTTCTCAATTGCTCTTTTATTTATTCTGTAGTTATTTTCTTTGTAGTTACTCTTGGGATTATATACAGCACCCTATAGTTATAAAAATCTACTTTGAAAGCAATGCCAATTTAACTGCAATCCTATACAAAACTTCTTCCACAGCTTCGTTTCCACTTCACATTATTGATTTCATGAATTACAAATTTATACATTGTGTACATGTTAACATAGATTTATACTTACTTGTACACATTTGTATTTTAAACGTTGAAGAAGTGTAGAATAAAACCAAACTTTCAAAAACACGTATTTTCACATTTTGCCATATGTATACCTTTAGTAAAGGGCTTCATACTTCTATATGGTTTCAGGTTACTGTCTAAAATGCTTTTATTTTAAGCTGAATTAGTCCCTTTACCATTTCTTGCAAAGCAGATCTAATGGCAATGGACTCTTGCAGCTTTTATCTCACATTGTATTAATAACTTTCTAATTAAAAAAAAATTTTTGCCAAATATAGATTTGTTGGTTGGCAGTTTTATTTTTACCACATTAAATGTATTACCTATTACATCCTTCAAATTGTCTAATCAAAAATCTGTTGATCATCTTGAACAGAATTTATTGTTCTGTACATAATACAGAGTTATGTTTCTCCTGCTGCTTTTAAGATAGTCTATTTGTTGTTGGCTTTTAGAGTTTGATTTTAATGTATGTGGGCCTTGGTCTCTTTATCTGAACTCCAGTTCTTTAAGTTACTCACATATTTAGATTAATGTCTGTTGCCAATTTGAGAACTTTTTGATGATTGTTTTCACCACATAATCTCTCCACCCCCATAGGCTCCTGCTTCTCCTTCTCAGAATCCAATGCTGTGTATACTACTTGGCTTGATGGTGTCCTACAAGCCCTTTAGGGTCTGTTCACATCTCTTTACTCTTTTTTTTTTTTTTTGCCTTAGACTCAAGGATGTAAAATATCTTATCCCTAAACATGTAGATTATATCTTCATTCTGCTCAAATTGCTGTTGAAATCCTCTAGTGAGATTTTCACTTCAGTTATATCGTTCAGCTCCAAAATTTGTTTGGTTTATTTTGTATAATTTCTACATCATTGTTGATACACTCATTTTTCCGTATATGCTTTTCCCAATTTCCTGTAGTTCTATTTCCATATTTTTAATTGGAAATTTTAGCATATTTAAGATAATTGTTTTAAAACCTTTCTCTACTAATTTCAGTGCTCATGGTTCTTCAAAAATAATTTCTGTCAACTCGTTTTCTTTCTTATAAGGGACTGTGTTTTCCTGTTTCTTTATATACCTTATTATTTTATTTGAGCATTTCAAAATATAGACATTTTTCTAACTCTATATAGATTTGTTCTGTGTCATGACGATTATCAACTAATATGCTTGGTATGTTCTTAGTCTTAGCATAAGCCCAACATAAAACCCTAAGGCCTTGTCAGCAATTTTCTGAACTTGTATCTGCCTGGACTGTGTGTGCCCATTAGTAGTTCCCCCAAATACCTACTGGCTTTTGAATAGCTTACTATTTCAAAAATTCACACCCCAGCTTCCCCTCAATGGGTTAGACGGACTATTGCACGTCTCTTCCCCTAATCTCTTGCCCTTGGCATCATACTACATTTCTACTCAGCACCCCCATAAATAAATAAGTTTATTTTAGTCAATTTCAGATCACTTCTTGACGCGTCCATGAGACAAGTAGGGGCCTTTTGATCCACCATATTGCTGAAATCACTCTGTAAAAGCTTTCAATGATTTTATATTATATTGTATCAATGTATAATAATTAACTTATTTCTCAACTTACTTTTTGGTTATTATTTGAGGAAAAGTAAATAGAACGAAATCAGGGCATTGCAAGTTCTGACAACTCCAAGATGTTGATAATGTATTGTGCAAACTACATTCATCATGTTCTAATCTGCCCTCCAAAGGAAGGAACAAGTGAAAACTATCCCACATGAGAATTATTCATCCATTTATATGTAATTAATTTCCAGTTTTTCCTTACAAATAATGTTTAACAAGATGACAGATTATATAAAATGGTTATCAGTTTTTTGGCTAGTTACTTCTTGATAGTCTGTAATAAACCTGGTTGAAGAACAAATACTATTAAGGCACTGCTTGCATATATTAAATGATGTCCAAACTCCAAAAACTGTTAATAATTAACACTCCAATAAAAACTACACCAGAATTTCTTTTTATTTGCACCCTCATCAGGATTACAGCTTTATCAGGACTGCATCTTCTTCAGAAATGAATATTTCTCTTACAACGCAAAGAAAGAAAAATCAAAATAAATTTTCTGATTGAAAATGTAAAAAGGCAAATATTTTTACAGTTTTAACTTTAATTTTTTATTGAGGACCAACTATTTGAAAAATTCTCATTAGTCATTCCTTTAAATTATGTGTATGTGAGAGAAAGACGTAAGATGGTTAATTATTTCAAATGATGCAGTATAAAGAAGGGGCATTATCACGGCAGAAACGAAAAAAGATATTTGTAGCTGGAGGTTTTTATAGTCTAACATATGGTTGCTATTTGTTCTACAAATCCTTTTGAATAATTTAATATAGAGATTTAGAATAGAAAATAATACTTTAGATAGAAATTAATGAGTTTATTATAACCATATATTATAATAATTTACTTAGGAATTCTCTTTGATAAGAAACAAATGAACTGAATGCAATTTTCTCCACAGACCATATAAGACTGCCTATGTACCTCCTCCTACATGCCATTGGTTAACCATCAGTCAGTTTGCAGGGGTGGGGGGAGGGGTTTCCTGCCCATTGTTTTTGTAATCTCTGAGGAGAAGCAGCAGCAAACATTTGCTAGTCAGACAAGTGACAGGGAATGGATTCCAAACACCAGTGTGTAAAGCTAAATGATGGCCACTTCATGCCTGTATTGGGATTTGGCACCTATGCACCTCCAGAGGTAAGAATAATTCCTTTTAGTTTTCGGATTTCAAAAGAATAAACCTAGTAGAAGTGAAACCCGTATTGGGTTGTAAGGTTCGTGTTCCTACCTTACTCTGGATGACTCACTGGTCTAGGTTTCCTAGGCTAGGAGAAAAAAGTAGGCAATCCTTGTTCTGCATTGAGGTCCATTCCTATGGTCACGTACTGCTTATTTTTCGTTTGTGCACTGTTTCTTTCTTCTGTTCATGTCTAGTTCCCAGCTTGGCAGAATATGTAAAACTCAGTATTGAAGAACACTGTTGGTCATCTCCCTCTGGTGGAGATTAATTGCAATAGGAGTGATTTCTCTGTTTCTACAACTGAAGAAATCTTTCCATCTTCCAAGAACATACGATCCAGAGAAATACTTATAGCAAAAATTACTGGATATGGTGTGCACAAAACTGTCGGCAGAGTATCACTGTTCTGATGGGCGGCAGTGAGTGCCACCCAGTATTACCGGACCTGGACTAGAGTTTCCACTGTACTATTTCACTTTTAAAAAGAACTTCCTGAAAGAAAAAAATACCACCTCATTTTAAGTAAAATCTAGAACCTAACAAAGGAAAGTCTAAATTCTTAGTCCTTTTTTGTATGCATCATATTTGTATCAAAGTGGTAGGAGTGGTCTTCTGACACAAAAATGAACAAAATGGAGACCTCATTTTCTAGATAGAACTTGTATTCCAAGACTGTCCTCAGGCTACTAAGTGTGTGAATAGGAACTAATTATTGAAATTTGAGTCTCTCACTTTATCGATAAGTTGTGATGATCTACAAGGATACATTTTCTAGACCAGTGACAAAAGTGGTTTAATTTTTAATATAAATTGGCATGGGCAGGAAATGAAAATAACGACACAACTGAAGCTCCAGCCTTGGTAAACCTTTGAGTGTTGGCACACTTAAAGACTGCTCTCAAAAAAGATTTAAAAAAAAAAAAAAAGACTGTTCTCAGGAGATGGCGGGGAGACCGTTATCTAGTTCCTTGTAATTTCAACGAAACAAGAAAGCTTCTTTAAATACATGTAAAAATGAAAACAGTTTATTTATATTTTTGTCATTAAAAAATACCTTTCAAATCTTTATCCAAATTTGGTCAATAAGTCAGTAATTTTAAATTTCACTGGAATTCTGTCTTTCCTGAAAGAGATAGCCTTATTTTTTATGGCAGAACTGTACCTTAGTAAATTCTTAACAGATTTCAGTGAATTTTTAATGTACAAATCGATATCCTCAGAGTATACATCTTTACCCCTAGTGTTCAGTTCTGTTGTGTAGCCAGAATGACTATGCAGAAAAGACTTAATAGACTACTATTCACAGATGCTTTATTTCCCAAGTGAACCCTAGTTGGGTCGATGTAACTAGCATCCAGTCAAAATCTCAAGAACTGAGACACCAAAGAACATCTCTTGTAGACAGCATTTCCCAAATACGATGTTGGAGGAAGTCTGAGTGAGCATTCTGTGTAATATCACTGGGAGAGAACTCATATGAGCTTGCACCGTTTCCCTTCTATACTCCATGTGATTTTTACCATGTATAATATCACTATATTAAAAATAATTAGGACTATTTCAGTCATGTTAACTTTTCCAACAAATCACTGAATCTGAGGGTGTTATTTGGTACCTCCATAACAGTGATCAACCAGAGATTGCCTGAGACTGAAGGTGTTTCTGGGATGCTCAACCTTTATTACTAACCAGGAAAGACTCAGGCAAACTGAGATGGACTTTTCACCCCACATACAGACAGGAGGAAAAGCTGATTCTTGTATAAAAGTCAATGCTTGTGCCTGAACTACCTCTCAGCCACAGTGATCACCAGATACTACCTTTGGTTGCTCCTCCAGGTTCCGAGAAGTAAAGCTTTGGAGGTCACAAAATTAGCAATAGAAGCTGGGTTCCGCCATATAGATTCTGCTCATTTATACAATAATGAGGAGCAGGTTGGACTGGCCATCCGAAGCAAGATTGCAGATGGCAGTGTGAAGAGAGAAGACATATTCTACACTTCAAAGGTACTGTGTCTATGATGAGCTTGTGTGCACATGTATTTATTGTGATTGTGTGGAGATGACAATTCTATGACTGGATGAGTAGTTGTGGGTGAATTTTGCTTCTGGGTTCAAATTTATTCACACATACTCACATACTAAAACTGAAATCAAAATCAAGGAATGATGATCACTTTTCATTTTGGCTGTGTTCCAATTTATGACCTGAAAGTCCCTTTACTTTTTTGAGCTTCAGCTGAGATCAGTGTGATTTGACATGTGCTATAGAATCACAGAGAACAATAATCATGTTATGGTTTTTCTTATCGCCTGGGTGATTTTCTAAGATTTCTTATTATTCTCTCAATTGCTATCTTTATCAGTGAGATAGAAAGCAATATAAGAAAGCTCTGGGAGTATTAAATAATAGACACTTAAATTGTCCTAAATTGTGTCCAGCATAGTGAGCATGTTCAAAACTTGTTTTACCCCCCTTTTATGTTGCTTTAGTTTCTAAGCAACATAAATAGCTATTCTTAAGCATTGGGTTGAATGGATAGAAGAATTAGACTGTTAAAATGAGTTGTAAACTCTACTGAAGATAATTCAGGTAACATCATAGTTATTACTTAATACTAATCTTTACATTTTAAGAATTTACTCCTATCATTCAGTAGATGTACAAACTATACATCCAACGTATAATAAAGTTTATAAGGATAGGTCAGAGCCAAAGGAATCATGAGAAGGAAGAGAATATGTTTGCCAGTGGTCATAAATTTTGAAGCAGTAGGAAAATATCTAAATACTAGATGGCACAAAGTAATAAGATTTGCTCAAGCATTCATTCAAAATCACCTCCATTCTTTAACCTCTGCAGCTTTGGTCCACTTTTCATCGACCAGAGTTGGTCCGACCAGCCTTGGAAAACTCACTGAAGAAAGCTCAATTGGACTATGTTGACCTCTATCTTATTCATTCTCCAATGTCTCTAAAGGTATGCAGTTTGTATGAGCATAAAATTGCGCTTCTGCTGTCATTATAAACATTGTTTATCTGGATAGTTGAACAGAGCTTTTTATTAGGAGGATGTAGGGATTATCACACAGAAGAAGAACCGTAAGTGGAACACCTAATTTCCTTTCTTTCGAGTAAATTTTGAATCCTACTTCTCTAATGCACACCTACAAGAGAAGAGAGTACAGCAACCTCAAAGCCTCTTCCTCAAAAACTTGAAATTACAATAGTCTCTTTCAAGGCACTGTCTTAGTTGTGGCTTTTGAGTCCATCTCTTGGGATGTTCCCAGACACAGAGTTTCATGCAGTTGTGGTGCCCAATAAAACTGCTGCACATGTGATGCACAATGAGTTTCCACCATCTCTCCCCATTTCAAGCTGAAGCAGATTTGGTGGAAGCCACTATGCATGGTTCTTAAATTAGAAACCCTTAATGTGGACTTGCAAAGCTTTATTATTCTGCTGCCTCTTCTTTCACAATAGAGTTTGAAGCTGTATTTAGCCAGGAATTACTGTGTAGTGTATAACTTTTGATTTAAAGTTACAGAAAACTACTCAGGCTAGTTAATGCAAAAGAGTTTACTGAGTTATGTAAAATGGGAAGTCAAAGACATGGCTACATTTAAGGATATGAAATAGTCTACAAAAATGTATCATTTGTCTATTCTTATCTCTAAACTCCAACACTTTTTTTTATTATTGTTGACCCAAACTTTTTCATTGGTGGCGATTATGGCTTTGGAGCAGCTCAAGGCTCATGGTCATCACCATAAGACAACTCCTCTGGGTCTCCCAACTTCTGCTGACCCTATGTGATTCACAGTCCTGCCCAAAGACTATCAACTCTTCAGGTGGTCTGATAATCCTACCGTGTACAAGAGTACAATCCATTATTTTTGGATATCAAGGTATTTCCAAATCAAAGAGAGGTACTTCAATAGAGGAAATTATAAGGGCGGAATAAAGTGACATAAGTCAACTGTGAAACTTGATTAAGACCTAGAAAATGGTCCTTTTCCATGCATATAATATTTGTAAGAGATTAGAGGAAGCCTGTCTCCTGAATACATTCCTTATACCTTCATATGTAAAACACTTAGCACATATCACTTTCTGGAGCATTGTACCACCTGTCTCATGGAGGATTAGTGTCCTTAAAGGTACCTGGGGTTACAGCTATGAGTGGAGAAATTAATTTGTGACATCATTAAAATGACTGCTTCTATTTCAGCCAGGTGAGGAACTTTCACCAACAGATGAAAATGGAAAAGTAATATTTGACATAGTGGATCTCTGTACCACCTGGGAGGTGAGTGCTTGGCGGAGAGGACACAGAGAAGGATGACAAAAAGAGAAAATCTGTTTCCCAGGTTCAATAGGAAAGAATGGAATATGCACCATTAGATCTAGAAATTCAGAAACTTTACAAGAGTAGCTTTGGTGAGATGAAGGGAAAAACACAAAAGGAATGTTTAGAGAGTGGGGCACAAGACTTGGGGGCAAGGAGGACAGGAATCTCTTTCCTTGCTTGTGCATTAATCTATCCAGTTTCCTAAGGAAGAGATAGAAATTCTTACTCTTGCTGCCTCTATCTTCTTCCCCTATTTGCTGTTTGAATTTTTCTTTTTTTGACAATCACTGCTAGCTATTTTCATTGTCATACTTTGAAAGTTGTTGCTCTCACAGTTCTGTCTTGCATTTACCGTGATTTGCAGCCAACTGCACAAATAATTCCTCACAACCCCTTTCTCCACAGGCCATGGAGAAGTGTAAGGATGCAGGATTGGCCAAGTCCATTGGGGTGTCAAACTTCAACCGCAGGCAGCTGGAGATGATCCTCAACAAGCCAGGACTCAAGTACAAGCCTGTCTGCAACCAGGTGAGCTCCCTTGGCCTTCTCTCCTTTCGGTTCTTCATGCCCCCTCTTCCTGTCCTATTGCCAAATATCTGTTTGTTTTGTCCCAGTTATCTTTGTGAAGTAGAAGATTATCTAGAGAGCAAAGCTTCTGTCAAGAAAGGCGTGAAGATTTCTTGTTTGTACCCTGCTTGGAAAAGTATTAGGGAAAAATTGGAATGAGTTTAATGCTGAATCGTGTGTAATATTTAGGGGAGGTCCATTTGATCAGGGAGGCCTGGAATCATCAATTAGAACTCAAGGAAAGGTGGACTTACCTCTAAGCTATGAAAGATGACCAGAAAGTGCATGGGTGAAGGTGATTTGGAGGGAATGGTGTATAGATATGAAGCTAGGAAAAGATGAAATGAGCTGTACGTGAACAGAGAGTTAGAATAAGAGAAGAGAGGTGCTAGGGGTTTACATGGAATTTGGATGTCTGAATGCCTCTTCTTGATGTTTCAACAATTCTTGACCAGGGGCATAGATATACTAAAAATTAGCTGCAGACAATGAAAGTCATCCATGTCAGAAAGAGAAAAATTAGGCCGGGTGCAGTGGCTTACGCCTGTAATCCCAGCACTTTGGGAGGCAAAGGCAGGTGGATCACCTGAGGTTGGGAGTTTGAGACCAGCCTGACCAACATGGAGAAAGCCCATCTCTACTAAAAATACAAAAAATTAGCTGAGTTTGGTGGCACACGCCTGTAATCCCAGCTACTTGGGAGGCTGAGGCAGGAGAATCGCTTGAACCCAGGAGGCAGAGATTGCGGTGAGCCGAGGTCACGCCATTGCACTCCAGCCTGGGCAACAAGAGTGAAACTCCGTCTCAAAAAAAAAGAGAAAAATTACCTGTTTATGGAGGTAACTGTTCACAGTGGATGAAATCAACACTGAGGAACTTTAGCAGAACATAGACCTGACCTATCACTGCCCATGTCTTAGTCTGCTACTTCTCTTTGGGGTCTGTCATCCAATCAGTTGTTTAAACACATCTATTCTATGCATGGTTTTTTCATAGCTTAGGGATAAGTCCTTTTTTCCCCCTGAGTTATTGTTAATGATTCCAGGCCTCCTTGATCAAATTGACTTCCCCCAAATGTCACAAAAAAATTCAAAATTAAAGTCACTCTACCTTTTTGCTAATTTACACTTTTTTATTCTTTTATACAACTTAGAGCCAATGAGTAAAGATCTACCATTGAAATGTGAAGTGTATAAAATTTGTGAATTTGGCCTAATGATACAGTTCCATCATATCCAAATAGAAACATTAAGAAAATGCAGTTTTAATATTAGTCCTTCAATTTTTTATTATGATAATTTTCAAACTTTCAGAAAATTTGATAAAAATAATACACGATTCAACATAACCATTTATATTCAAAATTGTTAACACTTTGCCACATTGCCAAATATTTATGGCAAATGTTTATGTGGGTATATCTGCATAAATACATATAATATTTTCAAAATCTCTTTAAAATAAATTGGAAAGATGACAATTCACCTCTATAGACCTAAATAAAGTATGTCACAGAAATGAAGACATTCTTCCAGCTACAGTATAATTATTGTATCTAAGGAAACGAACTGCAATGCCCTCATGTCGTTTAACATCCAGTCTATATTTGAATTTCCCACTGTTTAATGGAAATGTCTTTTATAGTGCTCCCTTTTAAAACAGAATGGAAACAAGTTGTGAGCTGATCTGTTCTTTATAATCATAGGTTTCCCATTCAGCAATTACTTATAATCCACTGGGTGATAATTCCTAACAGAAGAAGTCATATTCCATGACAAATTTTCACATATGATTGTGTAAACATCACTAATACTTTTGTATTTAATGGTTATTTATTATTGTATTTATTATTTTTTGGAGTTTTTAGATAATCATTTTCAATTTTAAAACCTTATTTAACTATTCTTACGTGACATTTTACTATGAAAAAAAATCCTTCACCAAATCAAAATGAAGAACAAATATTCCTCAAAGACAAAGTTTAATACTTGCCTCTAAATATCAATTTCCTAAGAGATTACTATAATAACCACCAATGGTGGAGGCAAATTATTTTGTTCTTTCTTGCTCTCTGATTATCTCACTCATTACTCTGGACTTGGACATTTTTCCTTAAGATTTTTAATTAATTTTATTAATTTTTGTTAGTGCTCATTCTTACCCAATGGGTAGATTTTTTTCTTGATGCTGAAATCTATCCAAACATCACCAGTGACATTTCTTTGAAAGTAGTGCTTTTGTCTTTCAGACTTGCACTCACGAGTCCTTGACCAAATTCTTGCTTTCTGGCACAATCTGAAGCCCAAAGGCTCTAAGAATCTTACTGTATCCCAGATATGGAACTTGTTACATCTCCTTCTAGTTGTCAAAGGTCTTTGGAAGCCAGGATCTGATTCATAGATGAGCTTCTGTTCAGAAATGGCATTTCCATTTATACTTTTAGAAGATATATAAAATTTATTTCTATGAAAAAGGTTATTACTTGACAATAATATCCTCAGCTCAAATATAATGCTATACTGATTATTATTCAGCTTCCTTACTTTCATCTTTTCAATATTAACATAACTATTTCATATAAATTGATGCTTCTCTCTTTTGGTCAACTGCAGGTAGAATGTCATCCGTATTTCAACCGGAGTAAATTGCTAGATTTCTGCAAGTCGAAAGATATTGTTCTGGTTGCCTATAGTGCTCTGGGATCTCAACGAGACAAACGATGGTAATAAAAACAATGGGACCTTTACATAAACCTTCATTTTGCAGAAAATTTTTTAGTCAGAGCATCCTCAGTTTCCTGTAGTTAAGTTTCAAGTGGCTCATGGAGAGGAAAGAGAATTGCATTTCTGACGAGATCTTGGATGATGCTGATGGTGATGCTCGGGGGCCTCGCTTGAGAAGCTCCGGTGCAGAGTGGATGCCTTAGTCTGTTTAGGGAGCCGCCTAACAAACTATCGCCAGCCTCAGGGCCTCAGCCTTTCTGCCTTTCCTTCCAGGGTGGACCCGAACTCCCCGGTGCTCTTGGAGGACCCAGTCCTTTGTGCCTTGGCAAAAAAGCACAAGCGAACCCCAGCCCTGATTGCCCTGCGCTACCAGCTGCAGCGTGGGGTTGTGGTCCTGGCCAAGAGCTACAATGAGCAGCGCATCAGACAGAACGTGCAGGTGAGGAGCGGGGCTGTGGGCCTCAGGTCTCCTGCACAGTGTCCTTCACACGTGTGCTTCTTGTAAGGCTCTCAGGACAGCCTTGGGCCAGCTCCATTTCCCTGTATTTCCCATATGAATGCTTTGCGTGCATCCTGAGGGTTTCTTCTACTCTACCACGGGAGAGGCAGCACAGGTGCAGAGAATTAAGATGGGACCAAAAATGGAGATTTTTTTATTTCAGCATTAAGTTGACAATCTACTCTGCATCCCTGCACCAGGAACATCATTTTTTCATGTTGTTTGTTTGGTTTTGGTTTTTTTTTTTTGAGACAGAGTCTCATTCTGTCTCCCAGATGGGATGATTCTCCTGCCTCAGCCTCCTGAGTAGCTGGGATTACAGGTGCCTACCACCAAGCCCGGCTAATTTTTGTAATTTTTAATAGAGAAGGTATTTCACCATGTTGGCCAGGCTAGTTCCAAACTCCTGACCTCAGGCAACCCACCTGCTGTGGCCTCCCAAAGTGGTACTACAGGTGTGAGCCACCGCTCCTGGCCTCCTCTTCATCTTCAGAAATGTGGAGTAGCATTAGGTGTTCTTTAGTCTACCAGTCATTGTGGATTTTTCATTTCCATTTCTTCGTACGCTCAGTTAAAATTTCACATATTTATTCACTTGGAGTTTTCTGTTTGTGTACTGCCTGTTTAAGTCTTTCTTTGACTCTTAGTTGCTTGTCTTTTTTTTAAGTATAGGAGACCATAATTATACTATTAAATAGAGCTGTTAAACAAATCACCCTCAACATAGGGGTTTAAGATGAAAACCACTGATTTACTCAGGATTCTCTAGTTAGAAAATTAGCATGGCCTCAGCCTGAACTTAGTCAAGTTCTGTTCTTGGCTGGGCTCTCTCATGTGTTTGCAGGACAACGAGATAGCTCTGCTTCAAGATGTCAATGGGACATTTGTCTGGGTGCCATTTTCTCCTCCATATAGTTCATCCTGCAGCCATCCAGCCCAGACTTCACCTCAGCACATGGCATGACCCCAAGGCAGTGAGTGGACACATGCAAAGCCTTTTCATGTCTAGGCTCAGGGCTGCCACGCCATTGCTTCTGGCAAATATTACCCACATTACAGGACAGGCCAGACTCAAGGGATGGGTAAACAGACACCACCACTTATTGGAAAGAGCTAGAAATTCATATAACCAAGCAAGTGGATACAGGGACATGTGAGTGTTGGAGGAAGTGTTTCTTATTAATCTATGATGGATTAATATATGATAGGTTAATATATATGATAGATTGATATATATATTATAGTTTAATAAGATATATGAGATAGATTACACATACATACATATATATATTCTGGGTATTAATCGTTTAGAGATTTAGATGTATTATTGAAGTACCACCTCCCAAATTGCATATGTGCTGTGGTTTTCTCTGTAGTTATGTATTCATGAACAAAAGTTGCTACTTTTCATGTAGTTAAATTATTCATGCCTCTTTCCTGTGGTTGATGAGTGGCATGTCTTTTCTTATATTGGGAACATGACAATCTTTTAATATGTTATCTTGCAAAATTGGTAATTCTCTTTACTTATAAATTAGTTGTAAATTCAAATGAATTTCTTTTTCAATACTAAGTAAAATAAAAACCCAAATATGCACATGGAATTTCTAAATTGATATCAAAAGGTGCCACCAACAATTATTGAAAAGCATTCACATTTGCTCACATATCTTGATTTTTTACTCTACCATAAATGAAACATTCATTCACAAATAATATTCTTGCCTCTCTTTTGTCTTCAATTGACTTATTTACTTTTCTGTACTGTCTAAATAATGAAAGGTCTTGCTACCAGAATGGTACAACTTTTTTTCTAACTCTTTATTTTATTTGATAATATCTTGATTATTCTTGACTGACTATTCTGTTATATGAAATTTTGAAACATCAACATCCATGAAAGAGTACATATTTTAGTCTTTGGTTGATATTGTATTGAAACTGCAGTTCACTGTGAAGAGAACTTTTTGACAATATTGAGACTTTCAACCTATGATGAATTTCCAACTATTTAAATGGCCTTTTAATATATATATCATTAATTTTATAACATTCTCCATTAAACCATATGTATTTTTAAATATTTATCCATAGAATACTGAAAATTATTAGAACCTCTTGATAACGTTTTCCTTTTTGTTTTGTGGATTTTCTAATGTGTAGAAATGTTAAAAGAAAAATGTAATGAACACCTTTTACCTAGACTAATTGTTAACTTGTTCATGTTTTTTATTCTCTCTCTCTCATTCTCTGTATCACTATTAGAGTGATTTAGTCAATTTATAGATTTATTCAATTCCATGTGTTAGCAATTAGTGGCATCCTCTTGATATTTAAAGTCTCTCAAATTTAGAGAGTAAGATACACTTCAAGCCTGTATCTGTTTCCTTTAGACATGAAATTGTTAGTAATTAGACAATTCCTGCCTTGAATTATGTTGAAAACAAATGTTGTTTGCATTATACCTGTTTATTAAAGAGATATAGAAATTCAACAATATCTATCAAACTTAATATATAATCTTGTTATTTAAAAATTTGCCTCTAGATTCTTGTGGGCCTTCTAGGTACATGACCCTATCATGTGGGCACAATGTGACCCTATCATGTGGGCACAATGTCAGCGCTGTTTCTTCTCCATTTTCTGTTGAAATTTTCTCTTTGTCTGCAGAGTTGCACAGTTTCAATACATAATATCTAGGAATGGATTTCTGCTTATTTTTCGTGAGCTATTCATTGACCCACCTGAGTGTTTAGAGCTGACTTCTATAACTGTTTAAAACTTACCAATATTTTAAGTATTGTCTCTGCACCCTACTGTCTAATATACTTGGGGATTCACAACTGGCAATCTAAAAATAATAAAAGTTTTTTATTTCTGATAGGTTTTTGAGTTCCAGTTGACTGCAGAGGACATGAAAGCCATAGATGGCCTAGACAGAAATCTCCACTATTTTAACAGTGATAGGTAAGTTTCCTTTGTAAATGGGTGATCTAATTTATTTCTGGAGAAGGAATGTAGGATGGGTGTTGAGAGTGACCTCCATACCAGAGGGACAGAGGCCAATGTGAGTCAGAGGTGAGACTGGAACTCTCCTGCTGGATTCACTCCAGAGCTCTGTTCTCTGGCAGGGTGAGTGGGCAGGGATCAGCATGGGTCAACCTGTGCCTCTGCTCTCCTGACTCCATGGAACTTTCCAGAGCAGCCAACATCATTGCCAAGTCTGCACGTTCCATATAGGCCTGGTGTTTCTACCACTGGACATGCTGTGGATACTGCCCATGTGACTTCATTAGATGTTTCCAAATCTGTGCTTATATCACATTGTCCCAAACCTGCTCAGCTCCTTATCAAATCAAAAACATTTCCATCAACTTTGTGGTCCAGGTGCCAATTCCCACCTCCTTCATATGGAATTGCTTGCTAGATCCTGTCAATTCAGCATCTTTTATTATTTCAAATGTTTTTCCTCCTTCTCCTTGCATGTTTGTTCATGCCCCAAACTCTGCTTTTGCCTCCAGAAAGCCTTCCTTAGTGGAGTGAATAGGAGCGCTTGTCCTTGATTTCCTGCAATATGGAGCTCTCAAGGCAGAGAATTTAAAAAAATTTAAAATCAAGGAGTGTGAGTGTGGAGGCAGAAGCTCCATTGTTGTATATAATTTGTAGCTGATAAAAGATCTTTACTATTCCTTCATGGTCTAAGGTTCTAGGATTCATAGACGGTCATTCATGTAAATGCAGGAAAAGCAGGAAGTTATGGCCGGGCGCAGTGGCTCACGCCTATAATCCCAGCACTTTGGGAGGCTGAGGTGGGCAGATCGACTGAGGTCAGGAGTTCGAGACCAGCCTGGCCAACATGGTGAAACCCTGTCTCTACTAAAAATATAAAAATTAGCCAGGCATGGTGACACTTACCTGTAATCCCAGCTACTTGGAAGGCTGAGGCAGGAGAATCGCTTGAACCCAGGAGGCAAAGGATGCAGCAGTGAGCTGAGATCACACCACTGCACTCCAGCCTGAATGACAGAGTGAGGCTCCATCTCAAAAAAAAAAAGCAGGAAGTTATGTAACTGCTGGCAGTGGAAATTTTAACAAGTGATAGGGTGAGATAGTGTGTGAAAAAGCATAAGTACAGTGGCCCTTCATAAGTGCTTAAAAATTGGTAGATATCATTGTTAATATTTTTTTAGTTTCAAGGAAAATAAATAAAAAAAGGAAACCATGTAAAAGAAAGGAAGAGTAGCGAGCATGAGTAATTCTTATCATCCATTAAAAATGTAATAAGTTGGTGTTTATCTGTTCCTTTATATTTCATGTTATTTCTATATAAGAATTTTTAATGCACTGTAGCTCCTTGGATATTAGACCCTATATCATATATAACAATTTACATTTCTGAATCTTACAAAATATATTGCATACAGTAGACAGTAGCAGGTAATAAGTAAAGTAACAAAAGAAAGTATAATCAGAGTATCTCTGCTCTGCTGACAGATGTACAGGAATATACTTGAATATTTGACTTTGTGTGTTTTACGTGTTAACTTCCAGATAAGGGAATATGATTGAATAATTTATTATTTTGAAAATACTGTATTATGAAGCCATGTTCATAAAGGTAAGAAAGGCAGATTCTACAACTAGTCAGACAACTTAACATTCATACTAATGACAGCTTCATTGAAATCACTTTACTACTCCCCTAGTAATGGAGTCATTGCATTTATATTATACATTATTCTCTTTTCAGTTTTGCTAGCCACCCTAATTATCCATATTCAGATGAATATTAACATGGAGGGCTTTGCCTGATGTCTACCAGAAGCCCTGTGTGTGGATGGTGACGCAGAGGACGTCTCTATGCCGGTGACTGGACATATCACCTCTACTTAAATCCGTCCTGTTTAGCGACTTCAGTCAACTACAGCTGAGTCCATAGGCCAGAAAGACAATAAATTTTTATCATTTTGAAATAATTGAATGTTTTCTCAAAGATTCTTTACCTACTCTGTTCTGTAGTGTGTGTTTTCTTCTGGCTCAGAAGTGTGTGTGTGTGTGTGTGTGTGTGTGTGTGCTTTCTTCTGGCTCAACAGGGCTAAAAACTGTGTGATTTGCCTGTAAGTTAGGAGTGGGGGAATAATAATCATTTATAGACATACTATAGTGGGACTGCAGTAGAGTTTTCAGCCTCTAGAGAAGGAGCAGGTGACAGGTGTGGATCAGTTAGTGCCTCTTTAGCTCTTTCAGGAAGAACTCGCACAGCATGAACTCTGGAAGGTAAGCGATATTGACAGGATGACCAGCAATCCACAGGCTCCCTACAGCAGCGCAAGGGTCAGAGCTCCTGGAGCCTGGGGAGGAGGCATCCCTGTGAGAGGGGTGGTCAGGGCACCCACCAAGGAGAAATAATTGAAAGAAGCTATGGGGGAGGTTAGGAGAAGGGAGTCAATCCCATCTCTGCTTGGAAAATATTGGCACTTTTTTTGATAATCATAGTTGTAAATAAAACACTGAACAATGTTTTTAAAAACCGCAGAGCTGAGAGTCCTGCCTTGACCCCCCCAAGTGGGCCCTGTGACACCAGTGCCCTTGGGGGGCCGTGGTGGGGCAGGACATCAAAGAAACAATGAACTATGTGTACATATGTATGTGTGCATGTGTACGTATGTATGTGTGCATATGTACACATGTGCACATGTGTATATATGTACATATGCACACGTGTATATGTGTGTACTTGTGTGTGTGCATGTATATACATATGCACACGTGTACACATATTTGTATATAATATACAAGTATTTTTTGTTTTATACATAAAATAAGGTACACTATCAAATATGAAACACAAAATATCCCAAAGTCATTACATAGTACTGCCAAATTAATATTAAAATGGTAGGTAATACATCTAATCCAATTTTCAAAAATCTCAAACATCTTTTGAAAACATTACGTGGAAAATAAA
Organism: Homo sapiens; assembly: GCF_000001405.40. Classification (NCBI taxonomy): domain Eukaryota; kingdom Metazoa; phylum Chordata; class Mammalia; order Primates; family Hominidae; genus Homo; species Homo sapiens. Next base: position 5,108,679 of record NC_000010.11, read on the forward strand.
AACATTATGTGGAAAATAGCATGATGCTTTTAAACTTTGGTAACTTTTAGGACCACCTCTTACAAAGACATGTAATTATTCTGCAGTTTTTAGGGGTATAAATTTCATCAGCTAATCATGAGGATGCAAATTTTTATTTCAGATGACTCTTTTTGAAAACTTGGGACAATGTCATGGCCTATTGATTAAGGCATTTTGAGAAGAACAGTGTTTTTTAACCTGGGCACACTTTCTAACACATTCATTCTCAACTGTTCTTATGCTGTTGGCCACCTTAACCCCATCAAAGCCATGTCTCTCAGCTGATAAGCATCCCCTCAAGTTTCATAGTAACCACAATCTTTTCTTAAATTATTTGTTCCTGAAAATTGGAAAAAGCCATACACTTTGGAGTTCCCTATGCCAATTTTTGGGTGATTTTCTGTCTATTGTCATTCCATTGATAATCTTACATATTTTCTGGTTTACATACCACTTATAGGCCGAGAAACCCCCAAACAGTGTCTCTAGCTCTGCTTTTTTCCCCAGACTCCTGAATGGAACATGAAATTATCTACTCTAACATCCCTACATTAGTGTCTAACATTCACTGTTGGCATGCCTCAAATAAAACTGATATAAACCACTGTCATCCTGTTCCAAATCAACTTTTTTTACTCTAATGATTATTTCACATCTGCTGAAGTTGATTGACGTAGTTATTAAAGAAACATTCATTTTTTTGAACTTAGTAGTCAAGTGTATAAAGCCAAAGGAAAATTTTTAATTTCTTGAGCATGCAGAACATTTCTTTTTTTAAGATGTGAAATAATTATTAGGGTGGTTATTTGTAACTACTAAATTTGCTAGAGGCTTATTCCAATTCTTCACCCTCCATTTCCACTTCCTATTTTTAAAAGAAAGTTTCTCAGAATTTCATAAAGTTCAATGCCTGGCTTCAGGAACCCTTGGAATGTAACCAAATTCTACAGAAACTACCAATCCTGTTTTCTCTACAAGAAATGCTGGAAGACGGGTATTTCTGCATTTCCATCTGAGGTACCGGGTTCATCTCACTACGGAGTGCCAGACAGTGGGCACAGGTAAGTGGGTGCAGCACACCGTGCGAGAGCCGAAGCAGGGCGAGGCATTGCCTCACTCGGGAAGCACAAGGGGTCAGGGAGTTCCCTTTCCTAGTCAAAGAAAGGGGTGACAGACAGCACCTGGAAAATCAGGTCACTCCCACCCTAATACTGAGCTTTTCCGACAGGCTTAAAAAATGGCGCACCAGGAGATTATATCCCGCACCTGGTTCGGAGGGTCCTACGCCCACGGAGTCTCGCTGATTGCTAGCACAGCAGTCTGAGATCAAACTGCAAGACGGCAGCAAGGCTGCGGGAGGGGCGCCTGCCATTGTCCAGGCTCGCTTAGGTAAACAAAGCAGCCCAGAAGCTCCAACTGGGTGGAGGCCACCACAGCTCAAGGAGGCCTGCCTGCCTCTGTAGGCTCCACCTCTGGGGGCAGGGCACAGACAAACAAAAAGACAGCAGTAACCTCTGCAGACTTAAATGTCCCGGGGTCTGACAGCTTTGAAGAGAGCAGTAGTTCTCCCAGCATGTAGCTGGAGATCTGAGAATGGGCAGACTGCCTCCTCAAGTGGGTCCCTGACCCCTGACCCCCGAGCAGCCTAACTGGGAGGCACCCCCCAGTAGGGGCAGACTGACACCACACATGGCCGGGTACTCTTCTGAGACAAAGAGGAGTTAGACTCTTAAAGTAAAGAGTTAGACTCTTAAGTAAAGACTTAGACTCCCACACATTAATAATGGGGGACTTTAACACCCCACTGTCAACATTAGACAGATCAACGAGACAGAAAGTTAACAAGGATACCCAGGAATTGAACTCAGCTCTGCACCAAGCGGACCTAATAGACATCTACAGAACTCTCCACCCAAAATCAACAGAATATACATTTTTTTCAGCACCACACCACACCTATTCCAAAATTGACCACATAGTTGGAAGTAAAGCTCTCCTCAGCAAATGTAAAAGAACAGAAATTATAACAAACTGTCTCTCAGACCACAGTGCAATTAAACTAGAACTCAGGATTAAGAAAATCACTCAGAACTGTTCAACTATATGGAAACTGAACAACCTGCTCTTGAATGACTACTGGGAATATAACGAAATGAAGGCAGAAATAAAGATGTTCTTTGAAACCAACGAGAACAAAGACACAACATACGAGAATCTCTGGGACACATTCAAAGCACTTTGTAGAGGGAAATCTGTAGCACTAAATGCCCACAAGAGAAAGCAGGAAAGATCTAAAATTGACATCCTAACATCACAATTAAAAGAACTAGAAAAGCAAGAGCAAACACATTCAAAAGCTAGCAGAAGGCAAGAAATAACTAAAATCAGAGCAGAACTGAAGGAAATAGAGACACAAAAACCCTTCAAAAAATTAATGAATCCAGGAGCTGGTTTTTCAAAAGGATCAACAAAATTGATAGACCGCTAGCAAGACTAATAAAGAAAAAATGAGAGAAGAATCAAATAGACACAATAAAAAATGATAAAGGGGATATCACCACCAATCCCACAGAAATACAAACTACCATCAGAGATTACTACAAACACCTCTATGCAAATAAACCAGAAAATCTAGAAGAAATGGATAAATTCCTTGACACATACACTCTCCCAAGACTAAACCAGGAAGAAGTTGAATCTCTGAATAGACCAGTAACAGGAGCTGAAATTGTGGCAATAATCAATAGCTTACCAACCAAAAAGAGTCCAGGACCAGATGGATTCATAGCCGAATTCTACCAGAGGTACAAGGAGGAACTGGTACCATTCCTACTGAAACTATTCCAATCAATAGAAAAAGAGGGAATCCTCCCTAGCTAATTTTCTGAGACCAGCATCATCCTGATACCAAAGCCAGGCAGAGACACAACCAAAACAGAGAATTTTAGACCAATATCCTTGATGAACATTGATGCAAAAATCCTCAATAAAATACTGGCAAACTGAATCCAGCAGCACATCAAAAAGCTTATCCACCATGATCAAGTGGGCTTCATCCCTGGGATGCAAGGCTGGTTCAATATACGCAAATCAATAAATGTAATCCAGCATATACACAGAACCAAAGACAAAAATCACATGATTATCTCAATAGATGCAGAAAAGGCCTTTGACAAAATTCAACAACACTTCATGCCAAAAACTCTCAATAAATTAGGTATTGATGGCATGTATCTCAAAATAATAAGAGCTATCTATGACAAACCCACAGCCAATATCATACTGAATGGGCAAAAACTGGAAACATTCCCTTTGAAAACTGGCACAAGACAGGGATGCCCTCTCTCACCACTCCTATTCAACGTAGTGTTGGAAGTTCTGGCCAGGGCAATCAGGCAGGAGAAGAAAATAAAGGTTATTCAATTAGGAAAAGAGGAAGTCAAATTGTCCCTGTTTGCAGATGACATGATTGTATATCTAGAAAACCCCATTGTCTCAGCCCAAAATCTCCTTAAGCTGATAAGCAACTTCAGCAAAGTCTCAGGATACAAACTCAATGTGCAAAAATCACAAGCATTCTTACACACCAATAACATATAAACAGAGAGCCAAAACATGAGTGAACTCCCATTCACAATTGCTTCAAAGAGAATAAAATACCTAGGAATCCAACTTACAAGGGATGTGAAAGACCTCTTCAAGGAGAACTACAAACCACTGCTCAATGAAATAAAAGAGGATACAAACAAATGGAAGAACATTCCATGCTCATGGGTAGGAAGAATCAATATGGTGAAAATGGCCATACTGCCTAAGGTAATTTATAGATTCAATGCCATCCCCATCAAGCTACCAATGACTTTCTTCACAGAATTGGAAAAAACTACTTTAAAGTTCATATGGAACCAAAAAAGAGCCCGCATTGCCAAGTCAATCCTAAGCCAAAAGAACAGAGCTGGAGGCATCACACTACCTGACTTCAAACTATACTACAAGGCTACAGCAACCAAAACAGCATGGTACTGGTACCAACACAGAGATATAGATCAATGGAACAGAACAGAGCCCTCAGAAATAACGCTGCATATCTACAACTGTCTGATCTTTGACAAACCTGAGAAAAACAAGCAATGGGAAAGGATTCCCTATTTAATAAATGGTGCTGGGAAAACTGGCTAGCCACATGTAAAAAGCTGAAACTGGATCCCTTCCTTACACCTTATACAAAAATCAATTCAAGATGGATTAAAGACTTAAACGTTAGACCTAAAACCATAAATCCCTAGAAGAAAACCTAGGCATTACCATTCAGGACATACACGTGGGCAAGGACTTCATGTCTAAAACACCAAAAGCAATGGCAACAAAAGACAAAATTGACAAATGGGATCTAATTCAACTAAAGAGCTTCTGCACAGCAAAAGAAACTACCATCAGAGTGAACAGGCAACCCACAAAATGGGAGAAAATTTTGGCAACCTACTCATCTGACAAAGGGCTAATATCCAGAATCTACAATGAACTCAAACAAATTTACAAGAAAAAAACAACACCATCAAAAAGTGGGCAAAGGACATGAACAGACACTTCTCAAAAGAAGACATTTATGCAACCAAAAAACACATGAAAAAATGCTCATCATCACTGGCCATCAGAGAAATACAAATCAAAACCACAATGAGATACCATCTCACACCAGTTTGAATGGTGATCATTAAACAGTCAGGAAACAACAGGTGCTGGAGAGGATGTGGAGAAATAGGAACACTTTTACACTGTTGGTGGGACTGTAAACTAGTTCAACCATTGTGGAAGTCAGTGTGGCGATTCCTCAGGGATCTAGAACTAGAAATACCATTTGACCCAGCCATCCCATTACTGGGCATATACCCAAAGGACTATAAATCATGCTGCTATAAAGACACATGCACACATATGTCTATTGCGGCACTATTCACAATAGCAAAGACTTGGAACCAACCCAAATGTCCAACAATGATAGACTGGATTAAGAAAATGTGGCACATGTATACACCATGGAATACTATGCAGCCATAAAAAATGATGAGTTCATGTCCTTTGTAGGGACATGGATGAAATTGGAAATCATCACTCTCAGTAAACTATTGCAAGAACAAAAAACCAAACATCGCATATTCTCACTTATAGGTGGGAATTGAACAATGAGAACACAGGGACACAGGAAGGGGAGCATCACACTCTGGGGACTGTTGTGGGGTGGGGGGAGCGGGGAGGGATAGCACTGGGAGATATACCTAATGCTAGATGACGAGTTAGTGGGTGCAGCACACCAGCATGGCACATGTATACATATGTAACTAACCTGCACATTGTGCACATGTACCCTAAAACTTAAAGTATAATAATAATAAATAATAATAATAAATAATTAAAAAAAAAGAAATGCTGGAGGTAATACTTCAGTTGAATAGAAGGAAGTAGACAGTAACTCAAAGCCATATAGAGCTATAAACACTTCTAGTCTATGTAAATAAATATATGGCAAAATATGAAAACATGTATTTTTGAATTTTTGGTTTGTATTCTATTTTTCTTCAGAATTTAAAACACAGAAATAAGTATAATTATTTGTTAATATGTACACAATATATAATGTCCTAATGAGTGACAAAAATAATATGAAATGGGAAAAAAACCTGGGAAAATTAGTTTTTATATGAAATGGAAGTTAAATTGATGTTGATTCAATGTAAATTGTTATAACTCTATGAAGTTGTATGTCATCCAGACAGCAACTACAAAGATAATAACTGTAGAATACACTCAAGAGGAAATGAGAAGGGAATCCAAATGTCATTTAAAAAATTACACAATCTCACAAAATAGTAGTAATGACGGATATGAAGGACAAAAGCTATAGACATGGAGAAAAACATTAAAAATGGCAAAAGTAACTCTTTTCCCGTCACTAATGACAGTCATGTGTCATGTAATGCCTGGCTATCTTCTTGAGAAGGGCTTTGTTAGGTAACTTTTTCATTGTGCGAACATCATAGTATATAGATAATTCTCTCAAACCTTGTCATGATCTTATCAGCGATCTTTATGTCATATTCTAAATCCTTTGTTTTCATTTCAACATTCTTCATAGCATCTTCATCAGAAGTGAAATCCATTTCACCAAACCACTTTCTTTGTTCATCCATAAAGAGCAACTTCTCATTTGTGAAAATTATATGAGACTGCAACCACTCAGTAATAGTCAGTTTTCAATCTAATTCTAGTTCTCTTGCTATTTTCACCAAATCTGCAATTACTTTCCCCACTGAAGTCCTGAATTCCTCAAAGTCATCCATCTATGAGGGCTGGAATCAACATCTTCCAAACTCCTGTTCAAGTGTATATTTTGCCCTCCTTTCATGAGTCACGAATGTTCTTAGTGGCATCCAGAATAGTGTATTAGCGTTCTCCAGAGGGACAGAACTAGTGGAATATATATATATATATTTAAATATATATAAAGGGGAGTTTACTAAGTATGAACTCACGTGATCACAAGGTCCCACAACAGGCCATCTGCAGGCTGAGGAGCAAAGAGAGCCAGCCCGAGTTCCAAAACTGAAGAATTTGGAGTATGATGTTCAAGGGAAGGAAGCATCTAGCACAGGAGAAAGATATAGACTGTGAGGCTAGGCCAGTCTCTCCTTTCATGTTTTTCTGCCTGCTTATATTCTAGCCATGCTGACAGCTGATTAGATTCTGCCCACCCAGATTAAGGGTGGGTCTGCCTTTTCTAGCCCACTGACTCAAATGTTAATCTCTTTTGGCCACACCCTCAGAAACACACCCAGGATCAACATTGTATTCTTCAATCCAGTGAAGTTGACACTCAGAATTAACCATCCCAAGTCTACCCTTTGTTAACTTGAACCCATACACATCTCCTGAGATCATACATAGTATTCAAATAAATACAATAATAAGGTCATAATTATGCCTAATACAACTATCCTTCCTACAACTGGAAACGCACCAATCCTCACCCCAAATACTATTACATAAAGTAAACAATACTTAAATGCTGATGTGAAGTCAATAAATCTTATGTCACATGATAAAGAAAATAAAATGAAGATTTTTTTTAGTACAAGTATATACATGCACAAATATGGTTTTAACAAAAGGAGGAAATACTCATGACAATTACCGTCCTCTTTTCTGCAGTTGGTCACATGGTCATAGCCAGTATTGATGACTACCTTCTTCTACTACCCAGTATGCATACCTATGTATACCTGATATACAAGCACCTCAGCAGGTCATGTTTTTTTCCTGGTGGAGTGACCCAAACCTTCATTTTTGAAGGATCTGGGTCACTTGTAGTCCTGCTGGATTGGGCTGTTGTAGTTTCCCATTGACCTTAATCACACAGCATGGTAATACTAAGCGACGCCCTAATGCATACTCTTCCTTACCTCTGTTGTGAAGTAGTAGACTGATTTCATCTTGATAGCCCGGGTCAATCACCCCAGCCAACACTGTACCTCCCTTCTTACCCTGTTGACTTAAAGGTAGGAGGAACCCAAAGTGTCCAGATGACTGTCTTTCAGTTTAATGGAATTGTCATTGTGTCTCCCGGTGGCAGCGTTCTTCCCTCTAGAACTAAGATCTCTAGGCCAGCAGAAGGTGAAGTCACGGGAATAGGAAGCAAAAATTTTGTTAGTGGATCACTAGGAGTTATGCTGAGTGGTGCCACTTCCACTTCCACCCCTTGATTCCTGGACCGTGAATCCTGGCTATGAGAGAAAGAGTACTAATACATTGGATGCTGATTCAGGGCATACACAGCCTTCTGGAGAACTTTGCCCCATCCCTGCAAAGCACTGTCACCAACTTTCTAATCATGCTTCTTCCAAGTCCCTGACCACCCAGCCAAAATATTGGCTACAGGCCATGAATCACTATATAATCACACATCTGGTCATTTCTCCTTCCATGCAAAGTGCACAACCAGGTGCACTGCTTGAAGTTCTGCCCACTGGGAAGATTTCCCTTCATTGCTGTCCTTCAGGGATGTAGGACATCAAAGGGGCTGTAGTGCTGCAGCTGTCTGCTTTTGGGTGGCCCCTGCGTATCATGCAGAACCATCTGTGAATGACTTACAAAATACAGTAATTCTTGATCACTGGAAATGTTAAATCCTGGAAAGCGTAGCATTCGTATGTGTGATGTTAACATCATTTTCCCACACTTGTTGGCCGAAGATTCATTTGATGAATCCAATCTCTCCAAAATAGATGATTGTGATGATTCGTAGAATTCTGATGTTAGTTCTCTTTAGAAATAACTCTAAGAACAGTTTTTACATTTTTACATTGAAAATAAGTCAGATTTTCTTCAGCCTCAAAAAGTGTGTTTATGTAAAATTAAATGAGCACTGGCAGTGAGCTTTTTTTTTTTTTTAAACAGGAAAAGGGTTAAAAGGTGCTTCCTAAACATGAGTCTACAAAATAGCCACATTTAATTCACCGCTTAACCACTTTTAAATGTTAGTTTCCTGAGCCAAAATGAGGATTCAGGAGCAAACAATGAGGTAGCGGACTTGAGCTGCCCTCAGATAACAAGACCTATTTGTACATTTGGCTCCAGGGTGGTCTTCAACTATAGGAGATACTGGTTCATGGAGATATGGGAAGAAACATATCCACCCTCAATCGAGGATTTCTGAAGCAAGCCAGGACCTGGGGTAGGATTGATACCCTCCAGATTGTCTCCAATTTGGAAAACTTTGTCACAAATGGTATGTCTGTGATTATCAGGTATTAAGATCACCCACTCAGGACATGCTGGTTCTAGGTGTGTAGAGAAATTAGAAACTGTCTTAGTCCATTGTGTTGCTATAAAGGAATACCTGAAGCTGAGAATTTATAAAGAAGAGGTTTGTTGGCTCACAGTCTGGTGGCTGTACAAGAAGCATAGCATTGGCATCTCTTAGGCCTTTGGTGAGGTCTTCAGGCTGCTTCCACTCATGGCAGAAAGGAAAGGAGAACCAGCATGTTCCGAGTTCACAGAGTGAGAGAGGAAAGCAAGAGAGGAAAGTAAGGTGCCAGGCTCTTTTTAACAAGCAGCTATGAAAAAAGTAATAAAGCCAGAATTCACTTGTTACTGCAGGGAGAGCACCAAGCCATTCATGAGAGATCTGCCCCCATGACCATAATGACTTCACTAGGCCTCACCTCCTACATCGAAAATTCAGCATATGGTTAGGAGGGTCAAATATGCCAACCATAGCATTCTGCCCCTGATCCATAACCTCATGTTCTTCTTACACGCAAAATGTAGCCATTTCATCCCAATAGTTCCCAAAAGTTGTGACTTGGTCTAGCACCAACTTAAAATTCCAAAGTATAAAAATTCATATCAGACTCAAGGCAACTTCCTGCCAGTTATGAGCCTATGAAGTCAAAAATAAGTTATTTACTTCCAAAGTACAACCATGTTATCCATTGTGGGTAAACATTCCTTTTTCAAAAGGGAAGTTAACCAAAAAAAGGCAGGGGTAGGGACAGGGGAAACAGGACTCATGGAAATCAGAATTCCAGCAAAGCAGACATTAAACTTAAAGTTTCAAGGTAATTTCTGTTGACTTTATGTCTTGTACAACCTATGTGTCTAGATTCTTCTTGGCCTAAGTAGCATTCCTTCCTTCTGGCTGTGGGGCAGGGCCTTCTGTGAAATGGGAGTCTTATGACCTAGAGTCAAACAAGATAGGTCAGATAATTATTGTTATGGCCATAATTTACACAGAAAGGTGGAGGGAAAGTTAGAGTAGTATCTTTAGTTTTTATGGCTGGCTTTGGGAAAAATGGATTCTGGTTCCTATGACCTACCTTGGGGAAGAAAGATTCTAGTTTCTGTAACTAGTTTAGAGGAAAAGAGGATTGACATATAAGAGGGCGAGAGAAGCTCATAGAAAAACTTTTGCTTCTGAAGCCTTTATTTGGGGCATTGTTTGCTGAGTCCTGGCATTAATAGAGTTGTATGTTGGTTCTCTTATTAATCTGCCAATCATCAATTGATTTTTAGTGAAACATCAGAGAGCAAAGGGGAAGTTTTCCCTTGGCCCCTATAGCTGCCATTTGACTGGAGGGAGATATTTTGTTTTCTTTCTATTACTGGACAGTAAACATGCCTTCCATTCCCTTGAAGAAAAATACTATCTCTATATGCCAACACTGTTCACTCTATAAATTTCTTTAAAAAAAAAAACAGGTGGAATGCAGGGAAGTCAGTGCCCCCTACTTATCAAATGTGCGGAAATGTGAAAGACCTTGCAGAATGGTCTCCCAATAGGCATTTACCAATTTTGATCAATTACACACTCCTTACATGGTTTGTTTCATTCATAATCTACATCCTCTACCAGACTATAAACTCAAGGCATTTACATTTTATTTCATTTTTGCCTATTTATTGGTAAAACAATGTTTGGCACACAATGAATATTCAATAAAGTTTTGCTAGATGAATAAATGAATGAATGGCACAGTAAGCAAGAACTAACACCATGCCAGAACATGGGTAGATGATTAAGAATCTTAATAAATTAATGAGATGCACTGCTTTAAAGTCAGTAAAATTTTGAAATTTTTGAATAATATTTGATAGCTTGGAAAAATACTTGTTACTTCTGTTATATATAAAAGTACATAATCTACATGTAGAAGATGATTTCATGATTGTAAAAATGCACAAAACAAGCATAAATATTTGCATAGGAAAATTATGAAGAAAAATACACCAAATGTAAATTATTCTGGAATGGATGAATTACACATTATTTTTGTTCTCTATCTTTTCTATTTTCTAAATATTTATGTTATTTATGCACACTTTTTAATAATTAGAAAAACAAACATCCTCATATTCAAATCTTTGTTATTTCATAAAGTGAAGAAGTGAAAGGCAGGCGAACAGAAACTATAGACTCTGCTTTCTAATCCCCTCACCAAATACAGAGATCCTCTCCAAGATGCCTAAAAGGAAGAAATTCTGCTAGTATCACTCAATAGCTCATGGTCAATATTCTTCAGATAATGGATAACAAGGGTGATTAGCAGCATTGAAATAGAAAAAAGAATATTAATTTATAATTCTTTTCCCACTCTGCGAATGCAAGTGTTTTTCCGAAGGTACAGTGAGGGTTTGCTAGCATCCCATAACATGTATCTCTAATATCTAGACATGCAAAAAGTTGTTGGGAACAGGCCCCCAAATCTGGCCATAGACAGGCCCCAAAACTAGCCATAAACAAATCTCTGCAGCACTGTGACATGCTCATGATGGCTATGACACCCACACTGAAGGTTGTTTGTTTACCGGAATGATGGCAAGGAACAGCTGGCCCACCCAGGGCAGAAAACCACTTAAGGCAATCTTAAACCGCAAACAATAGCATGAGCGATCTGTGCCTTATGGACATGTTCCTGCTGCAGATAACTAGCCAGAGCCCATCCCTTTGTTTCCCATTTTAGTTAATCTATAATCTATAGAAACAATGCTTATCACTGGCTTACTGTCGATAAATATGTGGGTAAGACTCTGTGGCTCTCAGCTCTGAAGGCTGTCAGCCCCCTGATTACCACTCCACACTCTATATTTCTGTGTGTGTGTCTTTAATTCCTCTAGTGCCACTGGTTAGGGTCTCCACGATCAAGCTGGTCTCAGCAAAAAGTGATTACTGTTTGATTACTTGTAGGAATTCTTGTTATTCAGTAATAGTAGTATTATTTGTTTTCCTTTTCCCGTGTTCTTTTTTTTCATTTTTATAATTTGTCCTTTCCAACTGAATGTGAATAATGAGTACCTTTTCAGTAGTTAGTGTGCCAGGAGCTGTGATATTGAATAGGGTCACAGAGATGAGTAAGACAAGTCTAAACACTCTCATGAGGGAGGCCACAGATTTCTACTTAAAGCCTTTCAGTATGTAAAAGTCACTTCCCACATTTTTGTTCGTTCAAAAATGTCTTCTCTCAGAATCCTGGTATGGTTTCACAAAAAGAAGAGAGACTGTTCACATATTTTTGGGGGGGACTGAATCTCTATTCTCATAATTAAAATTTTTTCCCTATTTCTGAAATAGTCATATTTTTATTTTATTTTAGTTTTTGGTAATTATTCTACCAGTTTGGAGTGTAGAAGTGGAAAATATGATGCTATTACATTGCTAAGCAGCAAAATGAGCATATATTTCCAAGCCATGCTAATTATGATATTATATATGTAATGTATAAGTAATATAATGAATCAAGGGATTATAAATAGAATTTTAAGTTAATATGCTCTACAACAATCCAGGTTTTTTTTTAAGTGAAGCATAAAACGACATAGAGGCTTTTCTTTTTTTGATTTTTGCATATAAAATCTCTGTCGGGTGCAAACACACATAAAAAATTTCATTTTTTCCCTATTTCTACACTCCCCTCCAAACTTCTTTGTGTTTGATTCCTCTTCTTTCTCCTCAATCCTGAGATCCTGCCACAGTTAATCCAATGGAACGTCATGTTTGTGAACAAACCAAAGTTAAGGGATGTTGGGTTCCCCAGAGATGGGCTTCAGATGGACAAAGATGACACTGGAGTAAGAGTCTTGCCCTGAGGATCCAGAGAAACTCCAGAGGATCTTATCTTGGTAGAGGCCATAGGGGACACCTCAGTCACTAGCACTGAGGGTCTATTAATTTCATAATTCATTTATCATTCAGGTTGGTGAGATTTATAGAGCTGAGAAAATGAGAGTTGTGACAGGCGAAGAAAGCCAAGGAAGACATAAATTTGGGAGATATAAATGGTGTCCTGAAAAGGTAATGCCACATTAAGGAGAAATGCCACTGGACTCTTACGGGAGGACATGGAAGCAGGGCCCACTGTGACTTCCCTAGGACCTACGCACATTTACCTACCTGGGCCCATCTCCATAAAAATATTAAAATTATGTCTTACGTTGCCTCGGTGGAGACACAAAGAGGGACCAGGTTTGAGTCATTATTACATATTTGTTATCATATTAATTTTTCTTTTTTTAGCATAAATTAAGACAGCCCTGTGCCTTCTAGTCTAATGGGTAAGAGCGTCCAAAGCGTAGGACCCAGGCACAGGTAGTGAGGGCATCAAAAAAAGTGATTCACAATGGTGCAGACATAGGCAGTGTTACTTACAGACCAACATTCCTGTTGGGTCAGAAATTGAGCCGTGGAGGAAACCTATGGTCTGAGGGCTACAGTGAATCTCCTGTTTCACCCCATGCCTGAATTCAGGCCTGTCTTCCTGATGTAGGAAAGATGTGTCCCTCTGTTTTTGTGCATCCTGCAGAAAATGGTCTGTGAAAGAATCTGCATCACTTAAAATTGTAACTTAGCATGTCGGAGATTTCCGTTGAGGCTGTCAATGGCTTTCATGTCCTCTGGAGTCAACTCAAAGTCAAAAACCTGAAAGGCAGGCGATACTCACATTCACCTTTCCCAGGACAGCAGCTTCTACCTGGGAATCCAAGGACTTTGCAAGGGGCAAAGGCAAGGATGGCATTAGGGGAGGCATTTCTATCCTCATCGGCTTCCAGGTGCACCTGGCCTGGGACCTCTTCCACCTGAGCTCTGCCTCTTCTCCATCCCACCCCTCTTCTATTCTGCACCACTTCTCAAAAGAAAGATGTGCACTCATCAATCTAAAATATTTCTAGAAAATTGCTTGAGACAGAAAAAGGAAATCACTTGTTTTAAAATGGAAAAGAAAGTGTAGACACAATACCTGCCACCTGGACTTGACCACACTTGGTCAGGCTCTTGTTTCCCCACTTCCCCGGGAACTTGATCCAGCCTTAGACTGAGCAACCCTTAAAACACGGAACAATCCCATTCAAGAAACCAACCTAGACTTAAGCAAGAGAAATTTATTCAAAGGGTAGGACTCTGAGCATAACATCTATGTGTCTCAAAGATCAGTCAGAAAACATTTTTTATAACGACAAGCAAACACAGCTGCAAATAGACAGTATTCAGGGGTCATGAGGTGAGCAAGTAGAACAGTTGATCAGGAAATGCTTTTTCTGGGGCAAACATATTAGTATAATTATGGTGTTCTACACATAGAAAGAGACAAGCAAACTAATAAAAATACCCAAAGACTTTAACAGGTACTACTATAAAGAAAACTCTAAGAGAATATATGAAATTCATACTGAGTAAAGAAGGAAATGAAAAAAATCAGCAATGATTTGGAGACTAGAGAACACCTAATCCAACTCCTCATTTCAGAAAATCAAGAAAAGCAGATGTCGCTAGCACAGGAATGCATAATAAATTGCCAACTTAATGTTGAAACCCAAATCTCTGGTTTTGGTTCCATCCTAATTCTCTCCACCCATGCTGCCTCTTCTGTGGTAGAGTAGAAAACCTTTAGGATGTACAGAAAGCATTTGTGCATAGGAAATAACCAGGAAATGGACTTAGTCCAACAGTATCCTGTTCTCACCTTACAGGAAGCACATGTGTGAAGGACACCATGCAGGAGTCCTAATGCCCACCCAACGCCTCACCTGCATGTTCTCTCTGATCTGCTGTTCATTGGAGCTCTTGACCAGGACCACAGCCCCACGCTGCAGCTGGTAGCACAGAGCAATCAGGGCTGGGGATCACTTGTGCATTTTTGCCATGACACAAATAACTGGGTCCTCCAAAAGAACTGGTGAGTTCTGGTCCACCCTGGAAGGAAACCCAGAAATGCTGAAGCCCTGAGGCTGGATTCAGTTTGTTAGGCGGCTCCCTAAACAGACTAAGGTGTTCATTCTGCACCAGAGCGTCTCAAGTGAGGCCCCTGAATAACAGCAGCAGCATCACCTGGGATCTCGTCAGAAATGCAAATTCTCACCTTACCCTAACTCACTGAGAGTAAACTCCAGGAAAGAGAGTACCATATAATTAAAATACTTCATCAAAATGGCATTTTAGGTAAACTTCCTGATGCTCTTATTACCATAGTTCATGTCGTTGGGTTCCCAGAGCACTGTGGGCAACCAGAACAATGTCTTTTGACTTGCAGAAATCCAGCAGTTTGCTCTGGTTGAGGTAAGGATGACATTCCACCTGCAGATGACAAAGATAGAAAAACATCAGATAATATGAAACAGTTATGTTAATATAAAAAGATTACAGATTAAAGTAAAAGGAGGTGAATAAATATGTGTAGCATCAAATTTGAACTGAC
This sequence comes from Homo sapiens, assembly GCF_000001405.40. Classification (NCBI taxonomy): domain Eukaryota; kingdom Metazoa; phylum Chordata; class Mammalia; order Primates; family Hominidae; genus Homo; species Homo sapiens. Next base: position 5,123,942 of record NC_000010.11, read on the forward strand.
AATATTACTGTCAACTAATTATCTTTTCCATCAAAATAAATTTTATATTGCTGTTTCCTAAAAGTATACATAGAAATGTCATTTCTGAGCACAAGCAACTCCATGGACCAGATCCAGTATCTAACTACCTTTGACCACTAGAAGGGCACACAGCCAATTCCAGCTCTGGGATAGGGTAGGATTCTGAGCTTTGGACATCAAATTGTGCCAGAAAGTAAAAATTTCTTCAAAGACTCATGAGGCCAGGTTTAAAATGCAAAATAAGTAGTTTTATAGGAATATTACTAGTAATGTTTGTATAGATTTGAACATCAAAAACAATAATAAGTAAAATCAATCATAAATTATAGCAAAAACAATTCATGGGTTCATAGTCATGAGAGATTAAAAGAGAGAGCAAAAATATTTGCCTCCACTGATGGTGATTATTGCAGTAATTTCTTTCTAGGATATGAATAATTAAAGGGAAAGAGTTAAGCTTTTAGCACTTCTGAGAGGAATAACTATTTCTTTTCTTGACTTGGTGAGGGATTCTTTTTTTCATAATAAAATGTAAAGTCAGAATAATAAAACTAGTAGTTAAAATTGAAAGTAATTACTTTAAAGCCCCAAGGAAGGAACAAATACAATAATAAAATAATAACACAATACAAAAAATTAAAACATTAAATTTTAAACAATACAATTGTAACAATTGTAAACAATACAAAAAATTAAAACATCATTGCTATATACTCAATCATTATGTGGAAATATGTTGTGGAATATAACTTTACCTCTTGATAATTATCATCCAGCAGATTACTAGTAATTGCAAAGGGGAAAACACATCTCTATGAAGATTAGATCTGGCCACCATTAACTTAACCAAGTGATCAAAATTAGCATGACTAATTGTGGGGCAATCTGTCATTTCATGCTGCCTACTGCGGTGTAATTTCAGGGATACAGCAAGGTAGAGACAGTTTATCTCCAAAAATGTTTAACCTCGATGACATAAAGCATTCAAGTATAACTTCTAATTTACAGAAAAGTACCTTTTGAAAACGTAAAAAAAAAAAGTTAACTTATCAAAATACAGTAAGATGAAAATCACAATTGGATTTTTTTTTGTTTTCACGATACATCTTATATTTATTTACCACTTATTTAACATCTCTCATTGTTGTATAATTTTCTCTGTAGAAGTTGTACACATCTTTTATTAGGTATACTTTTGGTACTTAATATCTTTTTATATTATATGGTATCATTAATTTTTTTCATCTGCTGTTTATGGTTAAAAATAAGAGTTATAAAAGACCATTCAAGGAAACAATGGTAAATCTCAATACAGATGGGGTATTAAATAATCTGAGGTCATTATTGGTACTTCCTTAGATATAACAGTTGTACTGTTACTGGGAGAATATCTTCATTCCTATGCTAGCTTTGAAAGCTACCCACCCTGGTAGCTTAACACAAAGGACATAAACTTTTGGGAACTCTGTGACCCTGCCTGTCACCTGAGAAACCAGAATACCTCCCCTAGGGCAACATAAGGCAAGCTCAAATCTCACAGCCGGTGCTCTTTTGCAAGAGCTGGAAACCAACCAACACAGTTCATTACAGCATCCCTGGGTAGAATAACATTGCACCCAGGAAGAAGAAAACTTGTTTGTAATCTCAGCTGTCCCTGTTGCCTGCAACTACCTGACTAACAAGAAGTCCTGAGCCTGTCCCTGAGACATGTTCACTACTATTATATCCAGCATTTGAGAAAGCCAACACAAAATGGCTATCTGTAACCAAGGAATCTCACAGAGTCTATGTCACTTCCTTGACACCATCATGAGAGCTGGTGCTGGTACCCACTGCTGGGAGACATGAAGACAGGTCACATCACAGGATCCCTTGCCAATATTCCCCAGCACTAGCCCAGAGTTGGGCAACCCCACTGGGTGGCTAGACCCAGAAGAGCAATAGCAATCTATCACTGTAGTCTGGCTCTCAGGATCTTCTACTCCTAGTGTAATGGAAGGAGCGTCACATCAAGACAACATCCCGTAGCACAAAAATATCCAGATAGCAGGACTTGAGTTCCAGATCTTTACACTGGTGGGAAGTTTCTTTCAGCAGAGACACAATTTCAGTGCTAGATTCAGTAGGGAAAGTCTAAACCTCTACCACCAACAGTCAAATGGCCTTGGTGCTCATGAAGGGTCTTGGAGAAGGGGTCTTCTTTCCCCCCTTGTCCATCAATGCAGACATAGCTAGGGCTTCTCCTAAAGAAGCTCTGCATGGGTACACCTATACACAGCTTTCCTGGAACACTTCAGAATGACTGCATCCCCACAGGAGGAGCACTCCCCAGGTTCAGGCTTGCATGAGAGGCAGTCACAATTTCTCCCTACTTGTAACATCAACATTTCTACAGATGAAAAGAGGTACCTGTCTGATCTCAAGATTCAGAACACTGGGACAAGAGTGAGGCTGGGAAGTGCATAGCTTTCCTGTCAACCTGGTATGGGAGCTGAGGTAGCTTCCCCCCTTTACGTTGATAAGATAGGGAATCCAGTTGAGAGCTCTCCCAACCACATTGGGTACTTCATTTATCTACCTACTTTAACTACAAATGGTTCCTATCCAGAGATACCACCTCTACTGGCCTGGGGTGGTATCCCTGGGTAGGGGATACTCAATAAATAAAATAAACTCTATAAATAAAATACTGGGAAAAAATTGAATAAATAAAAAAGTGCACACAACAGGAGAATAAGATAAGCTTCAAGAGACTGCTGCCATTCCAACCCCATAGGAGACAGTGAACTTGCCCACACACTGAGTATATAGCTACTACAACCAGCATCTGAGGAAGCCATGATACAAAGACTCTCTATAACCAAGGAACTCATATAACTCTTCACACCTAATAGCACTAAGAACCCAATTAGGCTATTATAAACTATAAACATTAAAGTCAGTTCCTTAAAAGGGAAAAAAGACATTAAAGAAAAACAGGGAAATCAAAAATAAATTCAAGAACAAGTAGAAGAAGTAGTCTATCAAAATGAGAGGACATCAGAAAAGTAATTATGGTAATATGACCAAACAAGATTTTGTCATCCCAAAACCCTGGGGTCACCCAAATCACCCCAAAAAGATCACACTAGCTCCCCAGCAATAAATCCAAACTAAGATAAAATATTTAAAATACCAGATAATGAATTTAGAAGGTTCATTATTAAGCTACTCAACAAGATATCACAGAAAGGTGAAAAACAACCTAAAATTTTTTTTTAAAAAAATTCAGGATATAAATGAAAAATTTTCCAGAGAGATAGATATCACAAAGAAAAACCAATCAGAACTTCTGGAAATGAAAGGCACATTTAGGGAAATACAAAATGCAGTGGAAAGTTTCAACAATAGACTAGAACAAGTAAAGGAAAGAATTTCAGAGCTCAAAGACAAGGCTTTTGAATTAACCCAATCAGACAATAAGAAAAAAGGATCAGGCTGGATGGGTGGCTCACACCTGTAATCCCAGCACTTTGGGAGGCCAAGCTGGGTGAATCACTTGAGGTCAGGAGTTCAAGATCAGCCTGGCCAACATGGTGAAACCCAGTCTCTACTAAAAATATAAAAATTAGCCTGGCATGCTGGCATGTGCCTGTAATCCCAGCTACTCAGGAGCCTGAGTCAGGAGAATCGCTTTAACCTGGGAGGAGGAGGTTGCAGCAGTGAGCCAAGATCATGCACCTGCACTCCAGCAGCCTGGGCAACAAAGCAAGACTCTGTCAAAAAAAAAAAAAAAAAAAAAAAAAAAGAAATGAACAAATTATCCAAGAAATATGAGATTATGTAAAACAGCCAAACCTAAGAATAACTGGTGTTCCTGAGGGAGAAGAGAAGTCTAAAAGTTTGGAAAACTTACCTGAGAGAATAATTGAGAAAAACTTCCCTGGCCTGGCTAGAGATTTAGATATCCAAATAGAAGAAGCTCAAAGTACTCCTTGGAAATTCATTGCAAAAATATTACCACCAAGTCACATAGTCATGAGTCTATCTAAAGTCAACATGAAGGAAATAATCCTAAGAGAGGTGAGAAAAAAGCATCAGGTAACATAAAGAAGAATCTATCAGACTAACAGGAGACTTCTCAGCAGAAACCTCACAAACTAGGAGGGATTGAGGTCCTATCTTTAGCCTTCTTAAACAAAATAACTGTCAGCCAGAAATTTTGTATCCAGCAAAACTATATTTCATAATTGAAGGAGAAATACAGTCATTTTTAGAAAAACAAATGATGAAGGAATTTGACATTATCAAACCAGTTCTACAAGGCATGCTATAAGGAGTTCTAAATCTTCAACCAAAAGACTGTTATACACCACAATGGAACCTCCTGAAAGCATAAAACTCACAAATCCTATAAAACAATAACACAACAACAGCAACCAAAAGTATTTAGGTAACAATTGAAATGATGAAAAGAACTGTACCTCACATCTGAATATTAACATTGAACATAAATGGCCTAAATGCTCCACTTAGAAGACACAGAATGGCAGAATGGATAATAAATCACAAACCAAATACCTGCTATCTTCAAGAGACTCACCTAACACATAAAGATTTGGATAAGCTCAAGTTAAAAAGGTGGGAAAAGAGATTCCATGCAAATGGAAACCAAAAGTATTCAGGAGTTGCTACTCTTATATCAGACAAAACAGACTTTAAAGCAACAGCAGTTAAAAAAAAAGACAAAGAAAATAATTATATAATGATAAAAGAATCAATCCAGCAAGAATATATTACAATCTTAAATTTATATGCACCTAATACTGGAGCTCCCAGATTTATAAAACTATTACTAGCAGACTTAAGAAATGAGATAGCAACACACTAATAGTGAGGGACTCAATACTCCACTGTACAGCACTAGTCAGATAATCAAGGCAGAAAGTAAATAGGAAACAATGGATTTAACATACTATAGAAAAAAATTACTAAACAGATGTTTACAGAACATTCTACCCGCCAACTGCGGAACATACATTCTTATCAGCACATGGAACATTCTCCAAGATAGACGATATGATAGGCCACAAAACAAGTCTCATTAAACTTGAGAAAATCCAAATTACATCAAGTATCTTCTCAGAACACAGTGGAATAAAACTAGAAATTGACTCTGAAAGGGACCCTCAAAACTATACAAATACATGGAAATTAAATAATCTGCTCTTGAATGATTTTGGGTTAACAATAAAATCAAAATGGCAATTAAGTAATTTTTTGAAATAAATTATAATAGTGACACAATGAAGACCTCTGGAATATAGCAAAAGCAGTGCTAAGAGGCAAGTTCATATCATTAAATGCCTACATCTAAAAGTCTGAAACAGCACAAATTGACAACCTAATATCACACCTCTATGTACTAGAGAAATAGGAACTAACTAAACCCAAAGATATCTGAAGAAAAGAAATAATATCAGAACAGAACTAAATGAAATTGAAACAAAACACCCCCACAAAAGATCAATGAAAGATAAAGCTGGTTCTTTGATGAGATGAAGAAACTTGATAGACCATTAGTGAGATTAACCAAGAAAAGGAGAGAAGATCCAAGTAAGCTCAATTAGAAATGAAACTGGACACATTACAAATGATATCACAGAAATACAAAAAATCATTCAAGACAACTAAGAACACCTTTATGTGCACAAACTGTAAAATCTAGAGTAAATGGATAAATTCCTAGAAACATACAACCTTCTTAGATTAGATCAGGAAGAAATAGAAAACCAGAACAGACCAATAACAAGCACCAAGAATGAATCAGTAATAAAAAATTGCCAACAAAAAAAGCCAAGGATCAGATGGATTCACAGCAGAATTCTACTTGACATTCAAAAAGAAGTTGGTACGAATCCTACTGAAAATATTCAAAAAGATAGAGAGAGACGGAACTCTGCCTAAATTATTCTGTGAAGCCAGTATCACCCTAATACCAAAACGAGGAAAGGACATAACAAAAATAGAAAACTATAGGCCAATATCCCTGGTGAACATAGATTAAAAAAATCCTCAAGAAAATACTAGCTAACCAAATGCATCAGCATATCAAAAAGATAATACATCATGATCAAGTGGGTTCCATCCCAAGGGTGCAGGGATGGTATAACATAGGCAAGTCAATAAATATGATATATAACACAAAGAGAATTAAAAAAGAAAAACCATATGGTTATCTCAATAGATGCAAAAAAAGCAATTGGTAAAATCCGCCATTGCTTTATGATTAAAACCCTCAACAAACTAGACATAAAAGGGACTTCCCTGAAAATAATAAAAGCCATATATGACAAACCCAAAGCCAACATTATACTGAATGGAGAAAAGTTTAAAACATTCCCCTGAGAACTGGTTCAAGACAAGGATGCTCAATTTTACCACTTCTGTTAATATTAAACTTAATCCTGGAGGTCCTAGCCAGAGAAATCAAGAAAGAAAAAGTAAGAAAGGGCATTGAAATTTGAATAGAGGAAGTTAAAGTATTGCTGTTTGCCAATAATATAATCATATACCTACAAAACCCTAAAGACTCATCCAAAAGTCTCCTAGATTTGATAAACAAATTCAGTAAAGTATCAGGTTACAAAATCAATGTACAGAAATTGATTTCTGCCATAAACCAGCAACAACCATGCTGAGAGTCAAATTAAGAAATCAAGCCCTTTACAACAGCTGTAAATAAAATAAAATAAAATCCCTAGGAACATATTTAATCAAAGAGATGAAACATCTCTACAAGGAAAACTATAAAACACTGCTAAAAGAAATGATACATAAGACAAACAAATGGAAAAACATCCCATGCTTACAGATAGAATCAATACTCTGAAAATGGCCATATTCTAAATTCATATGGAACCACAAAAGAGCCACAATAACCAAAGCAATACTAAGCAAAAAGAAGAAATCTGGAGGCAGTACATTACCAGACTTTGAATTATACTAGAAGGCTGTAGTTAGGAAAGGAGCATAGTATTAATATAAAAATAGGCATTTAGATAAATGAAACAAAATAGAGAACCCAGAAATGAAGTCAAATACTGATCTTTGATAAAGCAAACAAAAACATAAATTGGGGAAAAGACTCTATTCAATAAATGGTGCTGGGATAACTGGTAAGCCACATGTAGAAGAATGAAACTGGATACCATCTCTCCTTATACACAAATCAACTCAAGATGGATCAAAAACTTAAGTCTAAGACCTGAAACCATAAAAATTCTAGAAGATAACATTGGAAAAACTCTTCCTTACATTGGCCTCGACAAAGAATTTATCTCTAAGACCCCCAAAAGCAAATGCACAAAAAACAAAAATAAATAAATGGGACCTAATTAAACTAAAATAATTCTGCACAGCAAAAGAAATAATCATGAGAGTAAAGAGACAACCTACAGAATGAGAGAAAATTTTTGCAAACTACGCTTCCATCAAAGGACTATTGTCCAGAATCTCCAAGGAACTCAAACAAGTCAGCAAGATAAAAACAAATAATCCCATCCAAAAGTGGGCAAATGACACGAATAGACATTTCTCAAAAGTAGATATACAAACAGCCAACAAACATATGAAAAAAGGTTCAACATTACTAATAATCAGGGAAGTGCAAATTAAAACCACAGTGAGACACCACCTTACTCCTGCAAGAATGGTTATAATTTAAAAGTAAAAAAAAAAACAAAAACAGTAGAAGTTGGCATGAATGTAGTGAAAAGAGAACACTTTTACATTGCTGGTGGGAATGTAAATGAGTAAAACTCCTATGGAAAACAGTATGGAGATTCCTCAAAGAACTCAGAAGTAGATCTGCCATTTGATCCATCAGTCCCACTACTGGCATCTATCAAAAAGAAAAGCTTGCATGAAAAAGACACATGCACACACGTGTATAGCAGTGCAATTCACAATTGCAAAAATATAAAACCAACCTAAGAGTCCGTTGACCAATGCATGAATAATGAAAATGTGTTATATGTACATCATAGAATGGTGTATATGTAAAAAGGATTGAAATAATGTCTTTTGTAGCAACTTGGATGGAGATTAAGGCCATTATTCTAAGTAATTCAGGAATGGAAAACCAAACACAGTACCTTCTCACTTATAAGTGGGAACTAAGCTATGAGGATGTAAAGACATACAGATGATATAATGGCCTTTCAGGACTCAGTGTTGGGGGAGGTTGGGAGTAAGGTGAGGGATAAAAGCCTACATATTGAGTACAGTGTCCACTGATGGCCTGATGGGCTCGCTTAAATCTCAGAATCATCACTATAGAATTCATTCATGTAACCAAAATCCACTTGTACCACAAAAGCCATTGAAATTAAAAAATGAGCGCATAAAAAATATTTTACTGATCTGAGCTGTGGCTCAAAAAAGTAAAGTGATTTTCAAGTAACAAATTTGAACACAACAATGATGAGAAAGACATCATCATTTGCCGCCTTTTATTTTAGTTTTAATACATGAATATGTGTCAATAAATTGGAACCAATAAGCACAATTCACCCACCTACAGATCCAGTTACAGAATTGTCATCTCCACACTATCACATTAAATACATGTGCATGCATGCTTATCATAGGCACAGTACCTTTGAAGTGTAGAATATGTCTTCTCTCTTCACACTGTCATCTGCAATCTTGCTTCAGATGGCCAGTCCAACCTGCTCCTCATTATTGTATAAATGAGCAGAATCAATATGGAAGAAACCAGCTTCTATTGCTAATTTTGTAACCTCCACAACTCTATTCCTAGGAACCCGGAGGAGTAATGAAAAGTAGTATTTGGTGATCAATGTGCTCAACAGGTAGTTCAGGCACAAACAATGACCCTCACAAAAATCACATTATTCTTGCATCTTGGGTTAGTTCTATATATGGGGTGATAAATCCATCCCAATTTGCTTTAGTCTTTCCTGCTTAGTAATAAATGTTGGGTATCCCTGGACCTCTTCAATCCCAGGTAATTCCTGGTTGATCACTAGCAATGAGTTTCCCAAGAACAACCTCAGATTCAGTCATTTGTTGGACAAATTAACAAGACTCAAATTACAGTTATAAATATAGTCTTTATTATTACTATTATTATTTGAGACAGAGTCTCACTCTGTCACCCAGGCTAGAGTACAGTGGCACAATCTCAGCTCACTGAAAACTCTGCCCCTCCCCCACTTCATCTCGGACTGAAACAATCCTCTCACCTCCGTCTCCCCAAATAGCTAGGACCACAGATGCGCGCTATTATGCCAGTTAAATTTTTGTATTTTTGGTAGGTACGGGGTTTCGCTATGTTGCCCAGGCTCAAGCTCCCAAACTCAAGGGATCCACCTGCCTCTGCCGCCCAAAATGCTGCGATTACAGGCGTGAGCCACTGCAGGAAGCCTCCTAATTATTTTTAATATAGTGAAATTAACACATGGAAGAAGGCACATGGAAGGAACTACAGGAAGAATACAGTGCAAGTTCCTATGATTCCTCTCTCAGTGATGTTGCACAAAACACACTGACTTCCTCCAGCATCACATTTTGAGAATATAGGGGAAATGTTGTCTACAAGGGATGCTATTTGGACACTTCATTCCCAAGATTTACCTGGGTACTGATTACATTGACCCAGTCTGTGTACCACACACAAAACTCCAAGTCTTGTAAACAAAGCAGATATGTAGAAACCCCACACTTTGTACAAGCAGTTAATTATAGACAGCACCCTTATTAGTTAGGAAATGGTGAGAAATTCTGGCCTCCAACTTTGAAAACAGGTACATCTACGGGTGGCAGTCTGTTGTGTTCACTCCTTTCTACACAGCCATTAGCCATTCTGTGTGCATGACAGAAGTAAATATGACGAGTAAAGACATACACTCCAAGGATGTAGATTTATACATAAGAAATTAACTGCAACCTGTAAAAGATTAGTAAAGTATATTTTAGTCTTAAAAAATAAGGACAACTTTTTTAGGAAAGATATAATTTCAGTGAAATTTAAAATTATTGATTTATCTACCAAATTTGGATGAAGATTTGAAAGGTACATTTTTTAAACAACAAAGCCATGAATAGAACAATTTTCTATTTTAATATGAGTATTTCAGAAGCTTTCTATTTTCAATGATATTAAAAGGAACTAGATGCCAGGTCTCACTGCCTTCCCCTGATACCAGCCCTGATCTTCTCTTTGCTGTGGAGGCACTCAAGGTTTACCAAGGCTAAAGCTTCCATGTTGTGCTTTTCCTTACTTCCCCCTCATGCCAATTTTCATTACAAAGTAAACCGCTAGTGTTGATGGTCTTCAAGATGTCTCTCTGTAAATTCTTACAATGTACAGTTGAGAAAAGTGAGACAAATTTTATATGACTAGTCCTTATTCAAGCACTTAGTAGCCTTGGAATACACGTTTTCTTCCAGTATAGAAATAGTTCAGTCTAGAAAATAAAGTCTCCATTTTGCCTACTTTCATGTCAGGGGACCATCCATACCATTTTGATACAAATCTGATGCATATTAACATGGACCAAAAATCTAAAATTTCTCCTTCGAGGTTCTAGTTTTTTCTTAAAGTTATTTTTCCTTTTAATTTTCCTAGAGGTGAAAGTTGTACATGGGAACTTGTATTAAGTCCAAGACCAGTATTATTACTCTGTCATGCTCAAGGCCACACAGCAGCTCAGCAATACTCTCCCTAAGAGTTTTCATACACCCCGTCTCCAGACACTGTTACCACAAAGATTTTGTTCGATCATGTATACTTGGAAGAACAAACAATTTCTTCAATTATAGAAAGAAACGGAGAAACCATTCCACTGCAGTCAATCACCTACAAAAGGAAATGCCAGGCAGCGTTCTTCACTCTTGAGTTTTAAATATTCTGCAAAGCTGGGAACACCCATAAACAGAAGAAAAAAACAGTGCACAAAATAAAAGTAAGCAGTACACGACCATATGACCAGACCCCAATGCAGAACAAAGATTGACTACCTTTTCTCTTTGAACATGGAATAGCTCTGGCCTATTAAAACAGACCAGGTGAGTCACGCAGAGTAACACAGGAACACAAAGCTAAAACCCAAGTCATCTACTTATTCTAGCTTTGCTCTTTTAAATGCCCAACACTGAAAATATGATTATGTTACCTCTGGAGGTACACAGGTGCCAAATCCTAATACAGGCATGAAATGACCATCATTTAGCTCCACACACTGATATTTGGGATCCATTGAATGTCATTCCTTTCGCTAAGCAGACACGGTTTCCTTCTTCAACATCCAGCATTTATATTCACAGGTTGTATAAACAATGGGCAGGCAATGCTACACTGCCCACTGTCTGGGGCTGACCAATGTCATGTAGGAAGAGGCAAGTGATGGTGTATTACACAGGCTATGAAGAAAATTGAATCCAGTGCACTTGTTTTTTATCAAAGAGAATTCTTAAGTACATTTTAATATAGTCAGAATAAAATTATTATTTTCTTACTAAAGTAAAATTTTCCATCTGGAATCTATCTATCTATCTATCTATCTGGCTATCTATTATCTATCTATCTATCATCTATCATCTATCTATCTATCATCTATCATCTGTCTATCTCATAAATTCCTCCAATAGATTTATAGAATGATTAATTATCATATGTTGGACTATAAAACAACTCCAGCAACAAGTCTCGTTTTTGTTCATGCCGTGATGATGTTTCATCTTTATTTTATGTCATATAAATGATCAATCATTGTACATCTTTCTCTCACATGATGCTAAAGGAATGACTAGTAAGCATTTTTTAACAGGTGACAATAAAAAAGTTAAACATTAAAACCAAAGAAAATTTCTCCTTTTACCTTTCCATCAGCAAATATTTTGGGTTTTTTTTCTTTGCATTGTAGAAGGAATATTCATTCCTGATGAAAATGCAGTCCTGATGATGTTGTAATCCTGACAAGGGTTCAAAGGAAAAAGAAAATGCAGAAATTATGACATGATGTTTATTGGAGTATTAATTAACAATGTCTGGTCTTTGGACATCATTTGTAATATGGAAACAGTGCCTTATAGTATTTGTATCTTTCACATAGTTTTATAAGAAACTATCAAAGGTAATGTTCCAAAAAACTGGTAACTATTTTACATAATTTGTGATCCTGTTAAATGTTATTCATAAAACTGGAATCTAATTACAATAAATTGGTGAATAATCCTCACATGCCTTAATTTTTACTTGTGTCTCTCTTTGGAGGGCAAATTTGAATGTAATGATTGGGCCAGACACGTTGGCTCACACCCGTAATCCCAGCACTTTGGGAGGCTGAGGTAGGTGGATCACTTGAGATCCAGTGTTCAAGACCAGCCTGGCGAATATGACGAAACCTCGTCTCTACCAAAAATACAAAAATTAGCCACGTGTGGTGGCAAATGCCTATAATTCCAGCTACTCAAGAGGCTGAGGCAGGAGATAAGTTCAACCTGGGAGGCAGAGGCTACAGTGAGCCAAGGTCATACCACTGTATTCCAGTTTGCATGATCCATGATTAACATCCCTGATGAATCCACACCAATATCTGTTGTTTTTTGACATTTTAAGAATAGTCATTCTCACTTGTGTAAAATGATATCTTAATGTGCTTTGCTATGTGTTTCATAAGTGTACATTAAATGTAAATGGCTTAAATTTCCACATCAAAAGGACAATTTGCAGAATGGGTTTTAAAAAATCCAGGATGCAACTATATGTTCTGAATCAGAAACTTCCTTTAGAGGAGGACATAAATAGTGTGAACATGAAGGACAACAATAAGTATTTTAAGAAAATAGTAACCAAAGAAAAGGTGTGATAGCTGTACTAGAATCAGACGAAATAACATTTAGTCAAAAATTCTGACAAGAGATAAACAAGATATAAAACACAGGCATATTTTATAGCTATTAAAAGTCACATTCCAGACCACCAACATAAAGCAAATACCACAATAAAATGAATCACATAAATTTTTAAATTTCAACTGTATGTAAAAATTATGTTTACACTATTTTATATTAGGTAAGCAATAGTATCTGTCTAAGGAAACAATATACATATCTTAATTTAAACATTTTTTGTTACAAAATGCTAACAATTTTCTGAACCTTCAGCAGGATGTAATCTTTTGGCTGCTAGAAACTATTCCCTCACTGGGAGTCCATTCCAAGATGGCTGAATATGAACAGCTCCCATCTGCAGCTCCCAGCGTGATTGATGCAGAAGACAGAGGCCAGCATCATCCTGATACCAAAGCCTGGCAGAGACACAACAAAAAAGAGAATTTTAGACCAATATCCCTGATGAGCATCAAGGCAAAAATCCTCAATAAAATACTGGCAAACCGAATCCAGCAGCACATCAAAAAGCTTATCCACCAAGATCAAGTTAGCTTCATCCCTGGGATGCAAGACTGGTTCAACATACACAAATCAATAAACGTAATCTATCACATAAACAGGACCAACAACAAAAATCACATGATTATCTCAATAGATGGAGAAAAGGCCTTCGACAAAATTCAACCCTGCTTCATGCTAAAAACTCTCAATAAACTAGGTAATAAGAGCTATTTATGACAAACCCACAGCCAATATCATACTGAATGGGCAAAAACTGGAAGCATTCCCTTTGAAAACTGGCACAATATTGGGGCAACTTGCCCCCAATACTTCAGTGTATGTTCTTTCTATTTTCCATGAGTGTCAGCCAGCTGAGAAATAAAGAGAGACAGTATAAAGAGAGGAATTTTACAACTGGGCCGCCAGGGGTGACATCACATATCAGTAGGACCGTGATGCCTGCCTGAGCCTCAAAACCAGCAAATTTTTATTAAGGATTTCAAAAGGGGAGGGGGTGTAAGAACAGGGAATAGGTACAAAGATCACATGCTTCAAAGGGCAAAAAGCAGAACTACTAATAAGGGTCTAAGAAAGATCACATGCTTCTGAGGGAACAGGACAAAGGGCAAAAGCAGAACTACTGATAAGGGTCCAACAAAGATCATAAGGCAAAGGGCAAAAGCAGAACTACTGATAAGGGTCTATGTTCAGCGGTGCACGTACTGTCTTGATAAACATCTTACACAACAGAAAACAGGGTTCGAAAGCAGAGAACTGGTCTGACCACAAATTTACCAGAGTGGAGTTTTTCCACACCCTAGTAAGCCCAAGGGTACTGCAGGAGACCAGGGTGTATCTCAGCCCTTATCTCAACCACATAAGAAAAACATTCCCAGAGCGGCCGTTTATAGACCTCACCCCAGTAATGCATTCCCTTCCCAGGGTATTAATATTAATATTCCTTGCTAGGAAAAGAATTTAGTGATATCTTCCCTACTTGCACGTCCATTTATAGGCTGTTTGCAAAAAGAAAAATATGGCTCTTTTTGCCTGACCCTGCAGGCAGTCAGACCTTATGGTTGTCTTCCCTTGTTCCCTAAAAATCACTGTTATTCTGTTCTTTTTCAAGGTGCACTGATTTCATATTGTTCAAACACACAAGTTTTACAATCAATGTGTACACTTAACAGAATTATCACAGTGGTCTTGAGGCGATGTACATCCTCAGCTTATGAAGATAACAGGATTAAGAGATTAAAGTAAAGACAGGCATAAGAAATTATAAAAGTATTATTTGGGAACTGATAAATGTCCATTAAATCTTCACAATTTATGTTCCTCTGCCACAGCTCCAGTCGGTCCCTCCATTCGGCGTCCCTGACTTCCCACAATAGCACAAGACAGGGATGCCCTCTCTCACCACTCCTATTCAACATAGGAGCAAGAGAAATCAGGCAAGAGAAAGAAATAAAGAGTATTCAATTAGGAAAAGAGGAAGTCAAATTGTCCCTGTTTGCAGATGACATGATTATATATCTAGAAAACCCCAACATCTCAGCCCAAAATCTCCTTAAGCTGATAAGCAACTTCAGCAAAGTCTCAGGATACAAAATCAATGAGCAAAAATCACAAGCATTCCTATACACCAATAACAGATAGAGAGCCAAATCATGAGTGAACTCCCATTCACAATTGCTTCAAAGAGAATAAAATACCTAGGAATCCAACTTACAAGGGATGTGAAGGACCTTTTCAAGGAGAACTACAAACCACTGCTCAATGAAATAAAAGAGGACACAATGGAAGGACATTCCATGCTCATGGATAGGAAGAATCAATATGGTGAAAATGGCCATACTGCCCAAGGTAATTTATAGATTCAATGCCATCCCCATCAAACTACCAATGACTTTCTTCACAGAATTGGAAAAAACTACTTTAAAGTTCATATGGAACCAAAAAAGAGCCTGCATTGCCAAGACAATCCTAAGCAAAAAGAACAAAGCTGGAGGCATTATGCTACCGGACTTCAAACTATACTACAAGGCTACAGTAACCAAAACAACATGGTACTAGTACCAAAACAGAGATATAGACCAATGGAACAGAACAGAGCCCTCAGAAATATCACCACACCTCTACAACCATCTGATCTTTGATAAACCTGACAAAAACAAGAAATGGGGAAAGGA
The DNA here is from genome assembly GCF_000001405.40 of Homo sapiens. Taxonomy (NCBI): domain Eukaryota; kingdom Metazoa; phylum Chordata; class Mammalia; order Primates; family Hominidae; genus Homo; species Homo sapiens. The sequence goes on from NC_000010.11 coordinate 5,139,556, forward strand.
TTCCCTATTTAATAAATGGTGCTGGGAAAACTGGCTAGCCATATATAGAAAGCTGAAATTGGATCCCTTCCTTATATCTTGTACAAAAATTAATTCAACATGGATTAAAGACTTAAATGTTAGACCTAAAACCATAAATACCGTAGAAGAAAACCTAGGCAATACCATTCAGGACATAGGCATGGGCAAGGACATCATGACTAAAACACCAAAAACAATGGCAACAAAAGCCAAAATAGACAAATGGGATCTAGTTAAAGAGCTTCTGCACAGCAAAAGGAACTACCATCAGAGTGAACAGGCAACCTACAGAATGGGAGAAAATTTTTGCAACCTACCCATCTGACAAAGGGCTAATATCCAGAATCTACAAAGAACTTAAACAAATTCACAAGAAAAAATCAAACAACCTCATCAAAAAGTGGGCAAAGGACATGAATAGACACTTCTCAAAAGAAGACATCTATGCAGCAAACAGACACATGAAAAAATGCTCATCATCACTGGTCATCAGAGAAATGCAAATCAAAACCACAATGAGATACCATCTCACACCAGTTAGAATGATGATCATTAAAAAGTCAGGAAACAACAGATGCTGGAGAGGATGTGGAGAAATAGGAATGTTTTTACACTGTTGGTGGGAGTGTAAACTAGTTCAACCACTGTGGAAGACAGTGTGGCGATTTCTCAAGGATCTAGAACTAGAAATACCATTTGACCCAGCGATCCCATTACTGGGTATATACCCAAAGGATTATAAATCATGCTACTATAAAGACACATGCACACATATGTTTACTGCAGCACTATTCACAATAGCAAAGACTTGGAACCAACCCAAATGTCCATCAATGATAGACTGGATTAAGAAAATGTGGCACATATACACCATGGAATACTATGCAGCCATAAAAAAGGATGAGTTCATGTCCTTTGTAGGGACATGGATGAAGCTGGAAACCATCATTCTGAGCAAACAATCTCAAGGACAGAAAACCAAACACCACATGTTCTCACTCATAGGTGGGAACTGAACAATGAGAACGCTTGGACACAGGGCGGGAAACATCACACACCAGGACCTGTTGTGGGGTGGGGGGTTGGGGGAGGGATAGCATTAGGAGAAATACCTAATGTAAATGACGAGTTAATGGGTGCTGCAAACCAACATGGCACATGTACATATATGCAACATACCTGCACATTGTGCACATGTACATATATGCAACATACCTGCACATTGTGCACATGTACCCTAGAACTTAAAGTATAATTTAAAAAAAGAAAGAAAGAAAGAAATTATTCCCTCACTGTTGATTGCTGCTGACTGATCAGGGTCATGGTTGCTGAGTTCTGAAATGACTGTGGCAATTTCTTAAATAAAATACAACAATGAAATTTGCCTCATTGATAGACTTCTTTCATGAAAGATTTCTCTGTAGAGAGATTTCTCTGCTGTTTGACAGCTTACACAGTGTGGAACTTCTTTGAAAGTTGAAGTCAATTCTCTGTAACCCAGCCACTGCTTTATCAACTATCTTTTCATAATATTTTAAATCCTTTGTTGTCATTGCAGCAATATTTACAGCATCTTCACCATCTCACAATGGTTAAGAAAAGAGTAGATTTCAACCCAAGAACAACTTTTTGTGCATTCATATGAAGGAACTCTTAATCTCTTAAAGTTTTATCATGAAATTACAGCAATTCAGTCACATATTAAGGCTCTACTTCTCATTCTACCTTTCTTGCTATTTCCATTACATCTGCAGTTACCAAAGCCTTAACCCCCTTAAAATCATCCATGAGAGTTGTAATTAACTTTTTCCAAACTTCTATTCATGTTGATATTTTGACATTTTCTTATGAATTTCTTACAAATTTTCATGATGGCATTCAGAATGCTGAATTCTTTCCAGAAGGCTTTCCATTTACTTTTCCTAGATTCATCAGAAGAATCATTATCTACAGCAGCTGTAACTGATTGAAATGTATTTTATGAACAATAAGACTTGAAAGTTAAAATTGCTCCTTTATCCATGTACTGAAGAATAAATATTGTGAAAGCAGTCATAAAAACAGAAGTAATCTTTTGGTACCTCTGCATTAGAACTCTTTATTAACCAGGTGTATTGCCATTCAACAGTAATATTTTGAAAGGAATCTCTATTTTTGAGCAGGTTTCAACTTCTGCTTTTTATTTTAAACAGTAGACTTGAAATATTCAGTAACCATGCTATAAAGAGCTATGCTGTAAGACAGCTTTTTCTATTTATAGAGCATGGTTTTGAAATTATAACAAAGCATTGGTTTTATCCTGAAATCACCAGGAATGGGAGCTACTAACACAAGAGTCAGCCTGTCTTTTGAATCCAGGCATTGACTTCCTTTTAAATATGAAAGTCCTAGATGGCACCTTTTTTGGTACAAGGCCCTTTCATCTACATTCAAAATCGATTGCTTATTGTAGTCGCTTTCATTAATGATCTTACATAAATCTTCTGGTTGACCTGCTGCAGATTCTCCATCAGTACTTGCTTTATTTTGCACTTTTTTGTTATGGAAATGGCTTATTTTATTCAACCTCATGAATCAACCTCTACTAGATTTCTAACATCTTCTCTGCCGCATCCTCACCTCTATGAGCCTTCATACACTTGAAGAGAGTTAAGGTCTTCTTCTGGATTAGGCTTTGGCCTAAGGGAATGTTGTGGCTGGTTGATCTTCTGTCCACGTCATTAAAACTTTCTTCTTATCAGTAGTAAAGCTTGTTTTGCATTCTAACCATTTCGTATTCACTGGAGTAGCACTGTAGTTTCCTTAAAGAACTTTTCCTTTGTATTCACAACTTGGCTAATAATTAACACAATAGACCTAGCTTTCAACCTACCTCAGCCTTCAACATGCATTCCTCAATAAGCTTAATCATGTGTAGCTTTTGTGCTTAAATGAAAAATACGTTATTCTTTCTTTCATGTGAATATTTAGAGGTCACTGTAGGGTTACAATTTGACCTAGTTTTAACATCGTTATGTCTTAGGGTATAGGAAGGCCTGAACAGAGGGAAAGAGATAGGGGAACCACCTGTCACTGAAGCGGTCAGAAGACACACAATTATCTATTGCATTCACTATCTTATATGGGCACAGTTTAGGGTATCCCAAAACAAGTATAACAGTAACATCAAGATTACAGATCAGACATTACCATAACAGATATAATAATACAGTGGAAGTTTGAAATATTGCAAAAATTACTGAAATGTGGGGAAAAAACACAGAGTGAACATGTGCTATTGGAAAAATGGTACTAACAGGCTTGTTCAATGCAGGGTTGCTACAAATGTTCAATTCCTTTTTTAAAAAAATACAGTATCTTTGAAGGACAAAAAAGTGAGTCATAACAAAATGAGGTGTACTGTGTTCATAAATGGGTTAATTTATAAGGAATATATCAAGTGTAACCGTTAATTTTAGGTGCCAACTGGATTGGATTAAGCAGTATGCCAATACATGGTAGGGCATCATTTCTGGGTGTACCTGTGAGGATGACTCTGCATGATATTGACATTTGAATCAAGGGACCAACTTAAAAAAATTGCCCTAATTCAATATGGGAAACAACCCTTCTATTAGCTGACGTTTCTGATAAACAAGCAGAGGAAAAGTCAGCTTGCTCTCTCTCTCCTGAAGCTGGGTCACCCATCTTCTACCCGTGGACATCAGAACTCCAAGCCTTCTGATCTTTGAACTTGTTCACGAGTGCCTTCTACCCCTGGACGTCAGAAACATCAGAACTCCAGGCCTTCTGATCTTTGCACTCTAGGACTTTCACCAGTGGCCCTCAGCTTCTCAGGCTTTCAGCCTTAGACTGGAGGATACTTTGATGACTCCCCTGATTTCAGGCCTTCACAGTTGGAATTGGCCATGGCACTGGCTTTCATGGTTCTACAGCTTTTGAAAGGTGCTTGGTAGCGCTTTTCAGAAAACATAATTGAAATGAGGCAATCCCTCAAATGTATTCCTGTTCATACATAAAATCATAAAAATGATTTTATACATTTATATATGAGATGACACACATATACATGTATATATAATACATGTGTAAACATATGGATCTAACATATACTAGATATATTATTAAATATATTTAGATATATATTATATATAATATCTATATATTTATATCTATATATATTTTAGATTTCTGTTTCTTTGGAGAATTTTAACCATATTGATTTTGGCAGTGGAAGTGGTTCTAGGGGAACAGAATTTATACTGAGTTTTCTGAATTCATTTTGGAGTTTATGGAATGACCACTCTAATCTAACCAAACTTGAGAATACTAAAGACTCTATTTCCAATAATACAGAAAGTGCTAATAGTTGACAATATGAACTGTTCTTAGAGATGCATAAACTATCCACATTACCATATTCCACAATTTGCAAAAGGCCAGGAAATTGGTAACTCTATATATGATACTTTTGAATAGTTATGGAAAATTATTCAGTTTCAGCTTTCTACATATGGCTAGCCAGTTTTCCCGGCACCATTTATTAAATAGGGAATCCTTTCCCCATTGCTTGTTTTTCTCAGGTTTGTCAAAGATCAGATAGTTGTAGATATGCGGTGTTACTTCTGAGGGCTCTGTTCTGTTCCATTGATCTATATCTCTGTTTTGGTACCAGTACCATGCTGTTTTGGTTACTGTAGCCTTGTAGTATAGTTTGAAGTCAGGTAGCGTGATGCCTCCAGCTTTCTTCTTTTGGCTTAGGATTGACTTGGCGATGCGGGCTCTTTTTTGGTTCCATATGAACTTTAAAGTAGTTTTTTCCAAATCTGTGAAGAAAGGCATTGGTAGCTTGATGGGGATGGCATTGAATCTGTAAATTACCTTGGGCAGTATGGCCATTTTCACGATATTGATTCTTCCTACCCATGAGCATGGAATGTTCTTCCATTTCTTTGTATCCTCTTTTATTTCCTTGAGCAGTGGTTTGTAGTTCTCCTTGAAAAGGTCCTTCACATCCCTTGTAAGTTGGATTCCTAGGTATTTTATTCTCTTTGAAGCAATTGTGAATGGGAATTCACTCATGATTTGGCTCTCTGTCTGTTATTGGTGTATAAGAATGCTTGTGATATTTGTACATTGATTTTGTATCCTGAGACTTTGCTGAAGTTGCTTATCAGCTTAAGGAGATTTTGGGCTGAGACAATGGGGTTTTCTAGATATACAATCATGTCGTCTGCAAACAGGGACAATTTGACTTCCTCTTTTCTTAATTGACTACGCTTTATTTCTTTCTCCTGCCTAATTGCCCTGGCCAGAACTTCCAACACTATGTTGAATAGGAGTGGTGAGAGAGGGCATCCCTGTCTTGTGCCAGTTTTCAAAGGGAATGCTTCCAGTTTTTGCCCATTCAGTATGATATTGGCTGTGGGTTTGTCATAGATAGCTCTTATTATTTTGAAATATGTCCCATCAATACCTAATTTATTGAGAGTTTTTAGCATGAAGGGTTGTTGAATTTTGTCAAAGGCCTTTTCTGCATCTATTGAGATAATCATGTGGTTTTTGTCTTTGGCTCTGTTTATATACTGGATTACATTTATTGATTTGCATATATCAATTCAAGATGGATTAAAGACTTAAACGTTAGACCTAAAACCATAAAAACCCTAGAAGAAAACCTAGGCAATACCATTCAGGACATAGGCATGGGCAAGGACTTCATGTCTAAAACACCAAAAGCAATGGCAACAAAAGACAAAATTGACAAATGGGATCTAATTCAACTAAAGAGCTTCTGCACAGCAAAAGAAACTACCATCAGAGTGAACAGGCAACCTACAAAATGGGAGAAAATTTTCGCAACCTACTCATCTGATAAAGGGCTAATATCCAGAATCTACAATGAACTCAAACAAATTTACAAGAAAAAAAACAAACAACCCCATCAAAAAGTGGGCAAAGGACATGAACAGACATTTCTCAAAAGAAGACATTTATGCAGCCAAAAAACACATGAAAAAATGCTCATCATCACTGGCCATCAGAGAAATGCAAATCAAAACCACAGTGAGACACCATCTCACACCAGTTAGAATGGCAATCATTAAAAAGTCAGGAAACAACAGGTGCTGGAGAGGATGTGGAGAAATAGGAACACTTTTACACTATTGGTGGGACTGTCAACTAGTTCAACCATTGTGGAAGTCAGTGTGGCGATTCCTCAGGGATCTAGAACTAGAAATACCATTTGACCCAGCCATCCCATTACTGGGTATATACCCAAAGGATTATAAATCATGCTGCTATAAAGACACATGTGCACATATGTTTATTGCGGCACTATTCACAATAGCAAAGACTTGGAACCAACCCAAATGTCCAACAATGATAGACTGGATTAAGAAAATGTGGCACATATACACCATGGAATACTATGCAGCCATAAAAAATGATAAGTTCATGTCCTTTGTAGGGACATGGATGAAATTGGAAATCATCATTCTCAGTAAACTATTGCAAGAACAAAAAACCAAACACCGCATATTCTCACTCATAGGTGGGAATTGAACAATGAGGTCACATGGACACAGGAAGGGGAACATCACACTCTGGGGGACTGTTGTGGGGTGGGGGGAGGGGGGAGGGATAGCATTGGGAGATATACCGAATGCTAGATGACGAGTTAGTGGGTGCAGCACCAGCATGGCACATGTATACGTATGTAACTAACCTGCACAATGTGCACATGTACCCTAAAACTTAAAGTATAATAATAAAAGAAGAAAAAAAATTATTCAATAAAATAATGTTGCTTGGTTGTAACTAATGTTGATTGGTAAAGTTAAAAAAATTAGCTCAGGTATTTGAAATAACAGATCAAGCAATGTATCCATGACCTAAGAGCTTCTAGATATCCCGAGAGAGAAGCTTATGTCTCGTAATATAGAAAGTGCTAATAGTTTACAATATGAACTGTTTTTGCAGATGCATAAACTATCCACATTACCATACTCCACAATTTGTGAAAGGCCAGGAAATTAGTGACTCTATATATGATACTTTTGAATAGTTATGGAAAACTATTCAAAATAACCCACTCTATGGGTTGTCTGTTTACTCTGCTGACTGTTCCTTTTGCCATGCAAAAGCTCTTTAGTTTAATTAGGTCCCAGCTACTTATCTTTGCTTTTATTGCATTTGCTTTTGGGTTCTTGGTCATGAAATCATTGCCTAAGCCAATGTCTAGAAGGGTTATCTTCTCAAATGGAAAGCTTTGTCACTAATGGTATGTCTGTGATTATCGGGTATTAAGATCACTCACTCAGGATGTACTGGTTCTAGGTGTGTAGAGAAATTAGATACTGTCTTAGTACATTTGTGTTGCTATAAAGGCATACCCGAAGGTGAGTAATTTATAAAGAAGTCTCTTTGGCTCATGGTTCTGCATACTGTACAAGAAGCATGGCACTGGTATCTGGTAGGCCTCTGGTGAGGGCCCCAGGCTGCTTCCATTCATGGCAAAAGGAGACGTGGAGTTAGCATGCGCTGACGTCAGATGGTGAGATAGGAAAGCAATAGAAGGCGAGTAAGGTGCCAGGCTCTTTTTAACAAGCAGCCATCAAGAAAAGAAATAATGCAAGAATTCACTCACTACTGCAGGCAGAGCACCAAGCCACTCATGATGGATCTGTCCCAATGACCATAACAATCCCACTAGGCCCCACTTCCTACATTGAGAACTCAGCATATGGTTTAGAGGGTCAAATATCGCAATTACAGCATTCTTCCCCTGGCCCAGCACCAACTTAAAATTCCAAAGTACAAAAGTTCATCTCAGACTCAAGGCAAGTTCCTGCTGGTTATGAGCCTGTGAAGTCAAAAACAAGTTATTTGCTTTTGAAGTACAACATCGTTATCAGTTGTGAGTAAACATTCCTTTTCCAGAAGGTAAAAAATTAACCAAAAAAAAAAATGGTGTGGGTAAAGTCAGGAGAAACAGGACCTGTGGAAGCCAGAATCCCAGCAAGGCAGACGTTCAACCTTATAGTTCCAAGATAATTTCTGGTGACTTTGTGTCCTGCATCCTGGGCACATTGATGCAAAGGGCCAGCTCTCAAGCATTTGGGCAGCCCTGTCTCCATGGCTTTGCTGGGCACAGCCCACATGGCTACTCTTACAGGTTGGAGTTCTATGCCTGTGAGACTTTTCCAGGCAGAAGTTTCAAGCTGCCAAAGGGTCTGTGATTCTGGGATCTGGACGGCTGTGGTCCTGCTCCCACATCTCCACTAGGTAGAAACACCATGGTGACTTCTGATCCCACATTTCTGCTTATCATTGCTCAAGTAGAGACTCTGGGTGGGGCCTCCACCCATGCATTAGGCTTCTGCCTGGCTCAGCGAAGCTGCCAAATCTCAACTACTCTTGTGCCACAGAGATATCAGGTTTGAAACTCCCCTCCTTTTTTTGTATTTTTCTACTCAGCATTTCCTCCAGTAGCCAGGTGTGAGGCCTCTGGCTTCACAAGACTCAAGGGACTAGGTGGCTGCTACGTGGGGGCTTCTGCCTGAAGATTGTATACAATCTGGCTGAATGAGAAACTGATCTCAGGAGGCCAGGAGAATGCTCAGTAGTATAGGAGATAGAGAGGAGGAGGAACATAGGAGATAGAGAGGAGGAGGGGAGAAGCAGGGAAGGAGGAAAGTAAAAATAAGAAGTGGGGAGGAGAGATGCAGGGCATCCTTGAGTCAGCAATAACACTCATGTGCCTCAAATAAATAATTGATCTTATTGTAAACCAAAAAGTAACCCAGGCAGATATCAATCTATTAGAGGTTTGTTTTGGCAAGGTTGAGGACACACCCAAGAAAGAAAAATGCAAGTCACAGTAAGATCTTTGACCTGAACTTTTTTCAAAGAGGATTTTGGGAACTGCAATATCTAAAGGGTAAAGAACAAATATTTGAGGATAAAAAAATGCAGGTCAGGTACAGAATGAGGCAAGTGATTACATTCTTGTGAGCCTCTTATTAGTGCTCACTGAATCTACTATCTTACACGTGAAAACAAAGCAGTAGGGAAAAAATTGTGCATTTGTCTTGCGCTCAATAAATCTACATTTTATATAGGATATAGTAAGCATGCAAAATTACAGATATCTGTTTGGAAATAAAAGGAAGGCAGCTTTTGGATGACTCCATTACCAAGCTTAACTTTCCTTCTGACATAGTGAGTATGGGGTCCAGAGAATATATTTTTCTTTCTTTCCTTTCTTAGTAAGGCTCATTCCTATGTCATACCAGGAAGTCTAATTTCTAGGAGGCTGTGAAGTCTTGCGTCCTGTGGAAGAAAGCAGGGACAGAAAGAAAGAAAAAATAGAAAAAAAGATGCCAAGGTCAGATTACAACAAGAAAAGGAAAGGAATCCTGGAAGACAGATTCTGTCTTTACTACTAAAAACTCTACAGTCAGTAAGCACAAATATATATATAGCTGTTATATATATTTAAATGTTTGGTGATTCCAAGTAAGGAAAGTAGTAGAAAAAAATGAAAACATAATTTTGTTGACTTGTAGCCAGAAAATAATTTAGGATTCAGACCAGATAAATTGTAGTAAGTAATAAAAACTGAGAAGCAATGGACAAGTGTAGACTCTAATAACAGGTGTACTATAGTTTCTTTTGAAACATACTTTTTCTCTCCAGTCCCTAGATTTTATCAAAGACAAATAATGATAGAAACAATTTATTTGCAAAATATGTCATAGTCTTATTATTCTTGGCCTGATTATTTGCATACATTGCAACAAGAATAATTATTGTTCAATAGGCTCTTTATAAATTGGCTTTGCTGAAGCTATTTAAAAGACTCTCAGATTAGACTTTTAAAGACCTTTCTATCTCAGCCAAAAATGTATCTGTGCCTTCAGATGAATTGCATAAATTGGTTTATTTTCTCTTTTTTGTGGTCTCAAAATAACTTGAAGTTACTGGACCTGTCATAAAATGGCATTCTTTATTTTTCACAGGTAAGAAACCCTGTAGATGGAATAGGCAAGGTAAAAGGACAGTCTTTCCAAGGCACTTTTATTGGCTTTATAAAGTTAACCTCCATTTCTCAAAGTAATCTGTTCATTTCTGCAAATATGTCATTCCAGTTAAAGCTTTGATAAATTATTAGTGTCTTATTCCAAAAACAAACACATTCTTATTAAACTTATGTGAATAACTATGTTGCCATAAATTAAGAATACTCACAAATACGTTTCAAATTCTGGAAGAATTAGGCGAAGAGAAAAAATATTTTTCAAATTTTGTTTCAAATTTTTCTCAAAAAAGAATATTTTACTCAGTCACTGAAAGCTATAAAAACAGCTCAAAAGAATAAAGTCTTCTGGACTTTGAAAAACAAAACAGAAAGAATCAGCAGTAATTTAAACAAAATGTCATAAAATTGTTTTAGTCTTCTATTAGTTTGGTCCCATGCAATGAACTCATGTTGTTTGATATTGGAGCTAATAATTTTATGAACATATTAGCTCTTCACTGAGGGGATTCCAGGATGTTTTCTTTAGTCCAATGGCACAATTTCCATGGTTACTACAAAAATGCATTTAAATGTACCCGTTGGACTCCTTTCTGCAAGTGTATTTAAAGAAGCAAGTCTTGGACAAGAGGTGATTATAAGTTGCTTTTTGAGAAGGATCAAATTAAGACAACAATTGTCTTTGGATGACAAAATTCTTAGGATAGCCATGATCAAAGACACAATTGACAAAGGAATATTTTATGCCATACACCAATTTAACATAAAAATTATAATAATTAAGAATATATACTAAGATATATCAGAATTATAGAAATCTCATATAATTGAAGAACACATATTAATAACACCCTATATAAATCACACTCAAAGAAAGTTAAACACTATTTCATATTTGACAATGCTTCCTGTATAATTTTAACATCTCAAATATGTAAGTTTTGGACTTTAGGAGCCCTAATATTTGTGAAAGTTAATGAGGTAAAAAAGACTAAATGTGTAACTTGAACTTTTGATTTTTGGAACGTTTGTCAAATAGCAAAGCCTTAAGACATTTTATACCACAAAATAAAGTCACAGATCACTGTAAAATAAGTCATTCATTTAGCCACATAATAATGCAAAGATTAAAAAAAAAACCTCTACTTCTCATAGAAAGGAGACTCAGTTTCCCAAGAAATAAGACCTAATCAAGACAACATTGTAACTGCCCGGTGGGTTCTCCTTGCCACTGCCTAGAATGAGCTGATCTATCAAGACAGGGGAATTGCAATAGAGAAAGAGATTAATTCACACTGTTCCAGGTATATAGAAGAACAGAGTTTTATTACTACTCAAATCAGTCTCCCTGAAGACTCAGGGGTTGGAATTTTTAAGAATAACTTGGTGGGTAGGGGACCAGTGAGTCAGGAGTGTTGATTGGTTGGGTTGGAGATTAAATCATAGGGAGTTGAAGCTGTCCTCTTGCACTGAGTCAGTTCATGGGTGGGGGGCACAAGACCGAATGAGCCAGTTTATTAATCTGGGTGGCACCAGCTGATCTATCAGGTTCAGGGTCTGCAAAATATCTCAAGCACTGATCTTAGGCTTTACAAAAGTGATGTTATCCAGGAGCAATTTATGGAAGTTCAGAATCTTATAGCCTCCAGCCGCATGACTCGTAAACCATAATTTCTAATCTTGTGGCTAATATATTAGTCCTACTAAAGCAGTCTAGTCCCCAGGCAGGAAAGGGTTTGTTTTGGGAAAGGGCTGTTATCATCTTTGTTTCAAACTACAAACTAAGTTCCCCCAAAAGTTAGTTCAGCCTATGCCCATGAGTGAACAAGAAGAGCTTGGAGGTTAGAAGCAGGATGGAGTCAGTTTGTTTCCTTCTCTTTCACTGCAATAATTTTCTAATTATAATTTTGTACTAGTGGTTTCAATTCTTCCCTTTGGGTTTTTTTTTTTTTTTTTGAGACACAGTCTTGTTCTGTCACCCAGGCTGGCATACAGTGGCACAATCTCAGCTTACTGCAACCTCTGCCTCCTGGGTTCAAGTGATTCTCCTACCTCAGCCTCCTAAGTAGCTGGGATTACAGGCACACACCACCATGCCTGGCTAATTTTTGTATTTTCAGTAGAGATGGGATTTCACCATGTTGGCCAGGCTGGTCTTAAACTCCTGACCTCAGGTGATCTGCCCACCTCGGCCTCCCAAAGTGCTGGGATTAAAGGCATGAGCCACTGCACCCAGCCCCTTTGAGTTTTATAACACCTTATTCTTAAGGTGTGGGCTATAAAAATGGGAAAAGGCCAATGACCACTCTGGCTTCTTCCTGCTGACAGGAGTCATAGTAGGAATAGAGTTGACCTCAAGTTGAGGTCTGTACTCATGCAGGCTGGGCTGGGATTCTAAGGTTTGCATGACAAAGGCATTATTATTGTCATCTATAATTTTAGTATAGCATTTAAACAAACAGCATACTATCAGGTAAATAATGAATTCTAGGATAAAGAGTGCAATTTCCAGTTTTAAATGTAAAAATTTGAAAGCACTAGTTTGGGGACTTGCAGCCCACAAAGAATTTGGGATTTAGTGCAAATTACAGAAAATAATAAAAACTCAAGAACAACTAACAACAGGTGTGCTATAGTTTTTTGAAACATAATTTTTGTCTTTCCAGTTCCCATTTGGGAATGCCACTGTTTGCTTGAATCATACATAGAGCTCTAGCCCATATTTGCTGTTACCGCCAAAAATGGACACAATTTTTTAAGCAAACTGATCTATGTGGCTCAGAGTAAATCATCACAGCAACTTGTATAAGTAGCTTTGTGACTGTTGATGTATAAACTGCTCAGAAAATTTACTGGAACACCAGGATCAAACTACAACTCAGAAAAATTGTCAGATTGCCATTGCAATTTAAAAATACTTCAAGGACTCTAGAAAACCTCATCTGTGGACTACTTCAGACATTAACATTTTTCTCCGTGGAAATGCTGTGGGGAAGAGGGATTCTAGTTTCTGTGGCTAGCCTTGGAGAAGAATGGGACTGAGAGACAGCAGATTAGGAGAGGGTCAGAGAAAACCTTTTGCTTCTGGGGCCTTCATTTGAGGGTATTGTTTTATGAGTCCCAACATTAATTAAATTGTATGCCTTTTCATAATGAGTCTGCCTTTCATCAGGTGATTTTCATTGGCCCTTCAGAGTGCAAAGGGAAAATTTTCTCTTAGCCCCTAAAGCTGTGATTTTAATGCGGGGAGATATTTTCTTTTCTTTGTATTACTGGACAGTAAACATGTCTTCATTTTCTTGGAGGGAGCTACCACCTTTATATGACAAAGCTGTTCAATGTACAAATTTCTTGAAAAAAAAGTTTGGAATGGAGGGCAATCAGTGGCCTTATCAAATATGCAGCAATGTTAGAGATCTTGCAGAAGGATCTCCCTACAAGCACTTAGCAATTTCTAACAACTACGTACTTATATGTTTCTTGCATTCATAGTTGACATTCTCCACTAGACTACAAACTCAGGGATTTTAAAATTTTTATTTTGTTTAATTTTTGCCTATTTAATTTACTGCTAAAACAACGTGTGGCATACAATGGATACTCAATAAAGTTTTGCTTAATAAATGAATGAATGGAACAATATACAAAAATAATAAAAATGCCGAAATGTGGGTAGATGATTAAGAAACAAAATACATTGAAAGATACACTGCTTTACAACAAGTAAAATATAATTCTGTAATTTTTGAATAATAGTTGCTTGCTTGGAAAAATATGGTAGTTATTTAAAAAGTATAGAATCTGAACATTGATTATTTCAAGTTTATAAAAACACATATGTAAATAAGTGAACATTGGGTTAGTCCGTTGTCACACTGCTATAAAGGAATACCTAAGACTGGGTAACTTTTATAAAAGTTTAATTGGCTCACAGTTCTGCAGGCTGTGTAGGATGCATGGCTGGGTAAGCGTCAGGAAACTTACAGTCATGGTGGAAGGCAAGGGGGAGCAGACGCGTCTTCATGTGGCCAGAGCAGCAGGAAGAGAGTGAAGGGGAGATGCTACACATTTTTAAACAACCAGATTTCATGAGAACTCACTATCACCAGAACAGCAAGGGTAAAGACCGCCCCTATGATCCAATAACCTCCCACCAGATCCCTCCTCCAATACTGGAGATTATCATTGACATGATATTTGTGTGGGGACACAGATCCAAACCATATCAGACATGTTGTTTAGAAAAATCATGAAGGAAAATGCATCAAATGATAAGTATTCTGTAAGGAAAGAATTACAGGTCTTTTTTTGTATTTTTTATTTTTCTAAAATTTATGGGTATTACTTTAATAATCAGGAAAAACAAACATCTTCTTGTTAAAGTCTTCATTTCATAAAATAAAGAAAGGCAAGCAACCTGCAACTACAGATCCTACTTCCTACTCCTCTATCAAATACTGAAATCCTCTCTCTGTCACCTAAAAGGAGGAAATTGTGGTGGTAATGTTCAATAGCTCATGGTCAATATTCTTCAGAAAATGGAAAATAAGGGTGATTAGCAGCACTGAAAGAGAAAAAATATTAATTTAGTAACTTTTTTCCATTCTGTCAAAGAGTTTTTCTGAAGAAGCACTTGGGATGGGCTAAAATTCCCGAATTTACCACCACGTCCCTACTTGTACCTCGGCACACATGGTTTAATCTATGGAGGGGATGAGATGCATTTCTAATACCCACACCTGAAAAACACAATTATGACTTATTTAAATATAATCATAAAGATACTTGTTAGTAATTAAAATTACTGTTTGTTTTCCTTTTTATGTTCATTTTTCTTTTTTACAATTTGTTCTTTTTAATTGGGTGACATTAAAGAGTACCTTCTAAGCAGTTAAATGTGCCAGGAGTCATATTGACACAGGGCCACAGACATGAGTAAGACAATGCATTCACAGTCTCATAAGGCAGATCACAGACTTATACTTAGCCTCTGGGTACAGAAAAGTTACTTCCCACATTTTTCTCATTGAAAATGTTTCCTCTCAGAATCTTGGTGTGGTTTTACATAAAGGAGGATTCTTCAGATCTTTTTTGGAGACTGAGTCTTTACTCTGGCAACCAAAATTGTATTTCCCCTGCTTCTAAACTTTCCTCTAAACTCCTCTCTATTTAGCCTTCTCTCTCCTTAGTCCTGAGATCCTGCAGTAGTTGAGCAACTGGAACGTCACGTTTATAAATAAACCAAAGTCAAGGGATGTTGGGCTCTCCAGAGGTGGACTTCAGGTGGACAAAGATGACACTGGAGTAAGAGTCATGCCTTGAGGATCCAGAGAAACTCCAAAGGATCTTATCTTGGTAAAGGCTATTGACACCTCAGTCACTAGCATTTGAGGGTCTATTAATCTCATAATTCATTCACAATTCAGCATGGTGAGATTATATAGCTGAGGAAATGGGAGTTGTGGTAGGTAAAGAGGGCCAAGAAAGACATAAATTTTTGCAGAAATAGTTGGTATCCTGAAGAGGGAATACCACATTAAGGCTTCCCTAGGAGACAGGCACCTTTGCCTTCATGGGCCCATCCTGTATTAATACTTAAATTGTGTTTCCATTGCCATGATGTAAACACAAAGATAGAGCTGGATGGAGTCATTATTACATATGCATTATTATTGTATTCATTTTTCTTCTGATTTTAATATAAATTAAAGAGAACGTTATGATGGGCCCCTATAGGTTTGTAGGTCCTACACACTGAGCCTTCTAGACTCATAGGCAGTGGGCCCTGAGTGCTAGACCCAGGCACAGATAGTAAGGGCCTTCAAGAATTGGATTCACAATGGTGCAGACATTGGCAGTTTCACTTACAGACACATTTCTGCTGGGTCAGAGATTGAGTCCTGGAGGAAACCTCTGGTCTGAAGGCTACAGGGCATCTCCTATTTCACCCCATGCCTGAATTTGGGCCTGTCTTCCTGATGTAGGGAAGATGTGTTCCCCATTTCCCTGCATACTACAGAAAACAGCCTGTGAGAGAATCTACAAGCATCACTTACAATTGTAACTTGTCATATCGGAGATTTCTGTTGAGGCCATCAATGGCTTTCATGTCCTCTGGAGTCAACTCAAAGTCAAAAATCTGAAAGGAAGAAAACACTCACATTAACCCCTCCCCAGGGCAGCAGCTTCTACATGGGAATACAAGGACTTTCCAGGAGGCAGAGGCAAGGATGGCATTGGGGGAAGCATTTTCATCCTCATCAGCTTCCAGGTGCATGTGGCTTGAGACGTCTTCCACCTGAGACCTCTTCCACCTTCATTCTGCCTCTTCTCCATCCCATCCCTCTCCTACTGGGCTCCACTTCTCAAAAGAAAGGTGTGCACTCATCAATCTAAAATATTTATTGAGAATTGCTTGAGGCAGAAAAAGGAAATCCTTTATTTTAAAATAGAAAATAAAGTATGCAAAATAACTGCCACCTGGACATGTCCACACTTGGTCAGGGATTTGTTTCCTCACTTCCCGTGGAACCTGATCCAGCCTTGGAATGACAGAGCCTTAGAACACAGGAAACTCCCACTCAAGAATCTGTTTGCCTCAGAAAAAGCATTTTCTGGACAACTGTTCTACTTGCTCACCTCAGGACCCCTAAATACTATTTCCAGCTGTGTTTGCTCTTCCTTATAAAAAATGCTTACTAATTGATCTTTGAGACACTTAGATCTTATGTTCAAAGAGTTCTGCATTTTTAATAAATCTCTCTTACTTAAGTCAAGAGTAGTTTTCATTTGTCAACACATAGTCCCTGATGAGGAGCCCATTAATAGTAAAACAGATATTTTTTGGTTAAAAAAAAAATGCTACTTTCATTATGTGATCCAGGACACAATTTCATGAAAGACTCAGATCTATCTATCTATCTATCTATCTATCTAATGTATTTATCTCTTTCTCTATATGTATCCGTCCATCTTCTTTCTATCTACCAACACATTTATCCACCACTCTTTTTAAAAATGTACTTCAGAAGTTATATGGTTGTCATGAGAGCAGGTATTAACATTTTGAATTGGATCAAAAAATAAAATGGGCATTTTTTGTTTAAGTTGTCACAATGAGATTTAGATTTACCTATTTAATTTTTCCACAAGTTAATATACTTAATCTAGAACTACAATATTTTGAAATAAATACATTATATATGACTCAAATGTCATCTCTTGTAAATATTAAACTCATAATAAAATTTGTAGCTGTCATTTTAAAATGAGAAACAGCTTACATATTTTTTCAAAATTCTTGTGGGATTCAAAACAAAATAAGTTGGAGACCTGTGATTAATACAAGGTCCAGAGTGGATGTGGAGAAGGGTTTACAAGATAACTTCACTCCTCAATTTCTTAGTTTGGTTGGTCTGTAAACTTATGCCTAGTTTCATACCTGCTAGAGTCACTGCCAGGGGAAGGGTAATAAAAGATAATCCAGAAGGAGCCATTGTATTTAGGTTCTCACAGTCCAGAGAGCACACTGAAGTATTAGCAAATGATGTAAAATTAATAAACAAAAAACTCACTAACAGAGTCATGCCAGGCCAGGGGCTTTTGTGGTGAAAACTGGCCTGGGGTGTCCCAGTAGTTTAACAGAGCAGCTAATTTTATTTGGGTTTGATTTTAAAATACAAATAGGCATTTATAGGTAGAGAAGGTGAAGGAGAAGAATCAGGGTCCTTAAAGTTCATTACCATGTAGAAGAACTCCTGAAACGGATGAAAATAAGTGAGTTGAAATTTGCTTAGTGTCAACCAACTAGTAAGTGGCAAAGCCAAGCCTAGAGATGATAAACCTGAGGACTCTGAGTTCAGTGCCCTCTCGTCGATCCTTCCACACTGCCCTCCTCCCTTAGCACAGAGTGGAGAGCACAGGAATGAATGACACGTGTCGCATTCTCCCATGTAAGAGAGATCGCCCAGATCAGCACCCATGGCTCACTCTGGAGCGACTCTGCTCAACCTTTACCTGGAAGTTCTCTTTGATTCTCTCCTGAGAGAAGCTCTTGGCCAGCACCACCACTCCCCGCTGCAGCTGGTAGCGCAGGGCGACCTGGCCTGGGCTTCCACTGTGTTTCTTGGCAATGGATTTCAAGATCGGCTCCTCCAAGAGATGTGGGCAGTCGGGATCCACCCTGTTGGGGAGGGAACAGACACAGATGTGAAGGATGCAGGATGGAAAATCTACAGTGCGCTGCTCCTTTTCCCCAAATTCTCCAGAGAGTTGAGAGGAGTGGGCACAATACAATTTGATTTAAAACGGTCTGATAACTATTCATATGGATTCATTCATAAATGCAGTGAACTGGAAACAATAAGGCTGTCCATTAACAGGTGAATGGATAAACAAGTTATCCATACCCTGGAATAACACCCAGAAATAAAATGGAAAGAACTACAGATACTCACAGCTACATGAATGCAGCTCACAGATATGGTGAAAGAAGCCAGGTGCAAACTAATGCACATGATCTCTTTCATAGGAAATTTTAGAGCACACAAAACTAATCTAAGGTGAAAAAACCAGAAAATAGTTTCCTAGCAATGAGAAGTTATTGTCTCAGAAGGAAAAAAAATAACTTCTTTGGGAGATAACAAGTTTGTATACCACATTAGGGATGTGGGTTACAGAGTATGTCCATTTGCCAAAATTGTACAGCATTACAGCCTAGGCAAATCTTACCTAAAGACCACTTTAAAATTTATTTTAGGAGTGGGGTTGGGAGTAAGTAGTCACATAGATGAAACAGGAAGGAAAGAATGTTGGTGACATTTAAGCTCAGTAGTGATACATGGGAACAAACTACACCGTTGCTTTTCGCTTTTAATCTTTGAGCTTTTTTATAATACAATTTTTAAAACTTCGCTTTAATAGGAGTTTTTCAGCATCAGCAGAATTCCCGCCATAGGTTAACTCTTTGACATTCTTATTACCACTGTGGGTCTCTTTGGGATCCCAGGGCACTGTAGGCAACTAGAACAATGTCCTTGGACTTGCAGAACTCCAGGAGTTTGCTCTGGTTGAGGTAAGGGTGACATTCCACCTGTAATTTTTCAAGACCAAAAGGTGTCACAATATATGAGCCAATAACCACATGCAAATTTAAAATTGGTCTGAAGGAATGTGTAATACTACATTAATAGATGTACTATACTTTTCATGTTGGCCCTTTTCCCCATGCACCTTCTGAAGCACTTTCAAATCCCATCATTTGCCACACTGATACAGTAATTTTCTTATTCCTTTTCTATTCGTGTTTGAAAATTATTAAAATACCTTGTGCCCCAATTATAGCCTCTAAAAGCCATTTTTACTGAAAGAAACCAAGATTCCTTAGAGGAAGGGCATATTCCAGTTCTGAGTGTGAAAGTTTCCATTTGAGCCTAGAAGAGCTTGCACTCTAGAAAGGAGAGAAGATAAGAATGACAATGACGCATGCTGCCAAAGGACCCAGGATCTTACTTGAAGAGGCTCCTGCTGGTCAAAATATGGAAACTTGAGCATCAAAAAAATAGTAATTATGATGAATGGAAAATGACGTATTGGCTAAAATTCATAAATTCGCATGGCATTAATCAAGTGAGATCAGATCTGTAGCACTAAGCTTCAATTTACAGGAAGTACAAAAGGAACATGTCAAAGTGTGTCACGTGGATCGATGAGTAAGCCATTAGGAAGTGATGTGGAAATCTTTACAGGACAAACGACTTGATTTCTTTCATAAAACCGAAACTTTCACTGGATTCCTGACACCACCCTCTCCTGGTTGTCTCCATCTGTCTGGCAGCTTCTTTTCAGTCTCCTTGCCAGTGCCTCTCTGCCTCACCCTCTCCTGTGGATCTTCCTACCTGTTCCTTTTCATCCATGAACTTTCCCTAGGAGAACAAATCCATGTCTGTGAGTTTAGTTACCATCCATAAAGCAATGACTCCAAACATCTGTATCTCCACCTGGACCATCCCGAGCTCCAGACCAAAGCTGCCATTTCCCAACTCAGCACCTCCACATGGCTGTCTCATAGAAACTTTCACCCCTTCTGAAGAATTGTGCTCTTCCACCCCACTCAAATTGCTCTTTCTCTGGTATCTCCTATTTCTGAGAGAAAAGAACTCTCATCTACACAGAAGACATCAAGCAGAAACTTGGAGACATGATTAAGCAGGAAGTGTGTGAACAGCAAAAAGTCAGAGAAGGTCCCGGTGGGCTAAGGGCTCACCTGGTTGCAGGTGGGCTTGTACTTGAGCCCTGGCTTGTTGAGGATGAGTTCCAGCAGCTTGTGATTGAAATTGGACACCCCAATGGACCTGGTTAAACCTGCTTCTTTGCACTTCTCCAGGGCCTGGGGAGGAAGGATATGGGTGATAGACCTTTAGTGTAAATTTTTCTTTTCAATTGGCGTTTGACTTTGTAAATGCTGGAAATCTGTTTTAACATATATAAATATTAGACTGAATTAAACAGTTTTATCACTTGAATATACAATTTCCTAATGCATTACCTTGCTATGCATATATGTTTGTCTCCTTGATTCTATTACAAGCATACTCATAACAGCAAGTAGACATATTTGTTGTCTCCCACTTATTTCAATACTACCTATCTGGCTTGAGATATGCAATAGTTCCTTAACAAATTATACCAGAGTCATAAGCAAAGGAGACTCTTGGGTTTTCTGTTAGTAGAGGGTTTTCTGCTACCTCTGTTCTAGAATGGGAAAAAAAAATGAAAAAAAATCAATCAAATGGGTTTTTCAAGGGCAGGTTCACTGTCCTGCACCTTCCACCCTCCTGCTGAGTCAGTCCGCAGCTGTCCCTCCTCCATGATGTGTTTCTATCCAAAGATAACATGCTGACTCCTTTTGTGCTTCTCTATGCTGACCCCTTATAGGGCTCACATCCTCAACCTGATCTCAAGGCCAAAGGTGCCTCTATGTCTACTTAGAACCTTAGAAGTTACAATTAAAATGAACTGTAGAGGCCATCTCATTCCACTCTCTCACTTCACAGATGAGAACACAGAGGCACAGAGAAGCTCCACATCTGAGGTCAGACAACTGCTGGAGCAAAATCCCATCTCTTCTGACCCCTCCTCCTGCAATTCCAACCTCACTACACAGTGCTGCCTGGTGTCTGCAGCAGAACATACCTCCCAAGTGTCACAAAGCTCCACAGTTTCTAAAATAATCTCTCCACTGGCATCCTTTGGCAGTAATTCTTTCCCAGGCTGGAAAATAGAAAAGAAGATAAAGAAGGACATTTTCTATGGAATTCTCCTTTCTGGTGCCTAAGGAGCTCGGCCAAACAACCTTCAAGAGTTTCAGGAGGTGGTGATTATTAATCTGAGTGCACATATTTGTGCCTACATTTGCATGCACGTGTGCATGTGTGTATATATATGTGTGTGGGTATGTGTGTAAATGTGTTTGCATGCATGTGTGGATTATGTGTACATATGTGTATGTGTGTGCAAAGACATGAGTGGAAAGAAAGATAACTTCCAGGTTCCATCCTCCACACATCCCTACTCGTCACTAAGAATGAGGTCCCTACAGTTGGAATTCATTTTGTTTCCCAAGGACAAGCTGGTGTGGAGGACAGTGCTTAATATAGCTATTCATCAGTGTGTTTAGCCCCAGTTTACGCTCACCCGACTCAGAGAGTAAGGACATCAGAAGTGCTCAGCCAACGTCCACTGTGATGAGAGGTTAGATCAGCGGAGCCCAAAGGAGCCCATCTGTGCCACATGCACCATCCCAGGTATCTCTCTTTTGTTGGGCTGAAGGGTACATACGGGAGACCCTCCCACTAAAGAGGTGGGGGTTCCCATTGTATCTCTGCAGTCTGTGGTAA